>NC_000014.9:16704448-17004448 GCF_000001405.40 Homo sapiens
ACGTATAAAAAGTAGAAAGCAGGATCCTCAGAAACTTCTTTGTGATGTGTGCATTCAAGTCACAGAGTTGAACATTCCCTTTCGTACAGCAGTTTTGAAACACTCTTTCTGTAGTATCTGGAAGTGAACATTACGACAGCTTTCAGGTCTATGGTGAGAAAGGAAATATCTTCAAATAAAAACTAGACAGAAGCATTCTCATAAACTTGTTTGTGATGTGTGAACTCAGCTAACAGAGGTGGATCTTTCTTTTGATAGAGCAGTTCTGAAAAACACTTTTTGTTGAATCTGCAAGTGGGCATTTGGATAGATTTGAAGATTTCAGTTGGAAACGGGAATATCTTCATATCAAATCTAGACAGAAGCATTCTCAGAAACGTCTTTGTGATGTTTGCATTCAACTCATAGAAGTTGAACATTCCGTTTCAGAGAGCAGCTTTGAAGCACTCTTTTTGTAGCATGTGCAAGTGGATATTTGGAGCGCTCTGAGGCCTACGGTGAAAAAGCAAATATCTTCCCATAACCAGTAGACAGAAACATTCTCAGAAACTCCTTTATGACGTGTGCACTCACCTAACAGAGAAGAACCTTCCTTTTGACAGAGCAGTTTTGATACACTCTTTTTGTAGAATCTGCAAGTGGATATTTGGATAGCTGTGAAGATTTCTTTGGAAACGGGAATATCTTCCTATAAAATCTAGACAGAAGCATTCTCAGAAACTGCTCTGTGATGTCTGCATTCAAGTCACAGAGTTGAACATTGCCTTTCATAGAGAAGGTTTGAAACGCTCTTTTTGTAGTATATGGATGTGGACGTTTCGGACGGTTTGAGGCCCATGGTGATAAAGGGAATATCTTCCCCTACCAGCTAGAAAGAAGCATTCTGTGAAACTTGTTTGTGATGTGTGTACTCAACTAACAGAGTTGAACCTTTCTTTTTACAGAGCAGTTTTGAAACACTCCTTTTGTAGAATCTGTGAGGGGATATTTGGATAGATTTCAGGATTTCGTTGGAAACGGGAATATCTTCATATAAAATCTCGACAGAAGCATTCTCAGAAACTTCTTTGTGATATGTGCATTCAAGTCACAGAGTTGAATATACCCTTTCACAGAGTAGGTTTGAAACACTCTTTTTGTAGTATCTGGAAGTGGACATTTGGAGCGCCTTGACGCCTACGGTGAAAAGGGAAATATCTTCCCATAAAAACTAGACAGAAGCAATCTCAGAATCTTCTTTGGGATATATGCACGCAGCTAACAGAGTTGAACCTTTCTATTGACAGAACAGTTTTGAAAGAGTCTTTCTGTGGAATCTGCAACTGGATATTTGGATAGCTTGGAGGATTTCGTTGGAAACGGGATTACGTATAATAAGTAGACAGCAGCATTCTCAGAAACTTCTTTGTGATGTGTGCATTCAAGTCACAGAGTTCAACATTCCCTTTCGTACAGCAGTTTTGAAACACTCTTTCTGTAGTATCTGGAAGTGAACATTAGGACAGCTTTCAGGTCTATGGTGAGAAAGGAAATATCTTCAAATAAAAACTAGACAGAAGCATTCTCATAAACTTGTTTGTGATGTGTGAACTCAGCTAACAGAGGTGGATCTTTCTTTTGATAGAGCAGTTCTGAAAAACACTTTCTGTTGAATCTGCAAGTGGACATTTGGATAGATTTGAAGATTTCGTTGGAAATGGGAATATCTTCATATCAAATCTAGACAGAAGCATTCTCGGAAACGTCTTTGTCATGTTTGCATTCAACTCATAGAGTTGAACATTCCGTTTCAGAGAGCAGCTTTGAAGCACTCTTTTTGTAGTATGTGCAAGGGGATATTTGGAGCGCTGTGAGGCCTACGGTGAAAAAGCAAATATCTTCCCATAACCACTAGACAGAAACATTCTCAGAAACTCCTTTATGACGTATGTACTCAACTAACAGCGAAGAACCTTCCTTTTGACAGAGCAGTTTTGATACACTCTTTTTGTAGAATCTGCAAGTGGATATTTGGATAGCTGTGAAGATTTCGTTGGAAACGGGAATATCTTCCTATAAAATCTAGACAGAAGCATTCTCAGAAACTGCTGCTGTGATGTCTGCATTCAAGTCACAGAGTTGAACATTGCCTTTCATAGAGCAGGTTTGAAACGCTCTTTTTGTAGTATATGGAAGTGGACTTATCGGACGGTTTGAGGCCCATGGTGATAAAGGGAATATCTTCCCCTACAAGCTAGAAAGAAGCATTCTGTGAAACTTGTTTGTGATGTGTGTACTCAACTAACAGAGTTGTACCTTTCTTTTTACAGAGCAGTTTTGAAACACTCTTTTTGTAGAATCTGCGAGGGGATAATTGGATAGATTTCAGGATTTCATTGGAAACGGGAATATCTTCATATAAAATCTCGACAGAAGCATTCTCAGAAACTTCTTTGTGATATGTGCATTCAAGTCACAGAGTTGAATATTCCCTTTCACAGAGGAGGTTTGAAACACTCTTTTTGTAGTATCTGGAAGTGGACATTCGGAGCGCCTTGACGCCTACGGTGAAAAGGGAAATATCTTCCCATAAAAACTAGACAGAAGCAATCTCAGAATCTTCTTTGGGATATATGCACACAGCTAACAGAGTTGAACCTTTCTATTGACAGAGCAGTTTTGAAACAGTCTTTCTGTGGAATCTGCAAGTAGATATTTGGATAGATTGGAGGATTTCATTGGAAACGGGATTACGTATAAAAAGTAGACAGCAGCATCCTCAGAAACTTCTTTGTGATGTGTGCATTCAAGTCACAGAGTTGAACATTCCCTTTCGTACAGCAGTTTTGAAACACTCTTTCTGTAGTATCTGGAAGTGAACATTAGGACAGCTTTCAGGTCGATGGTGAGAAAGGCAATATCTTCAAATAAAAACTAGACAGAAGCATTCTCATAAACTTGTTTGTGATGTGTGAACTCAGCTTAGAGACGTGGCATCTTTCTTTTGATAGAGCAGTTCTGAAAAACACGTTTTGTTGAATCTGCAAGCGGACATTTGGATAGATTTGAAGATTTCGTTGGAAACGGGAATATCTTCATATCAAATCTAGACAGAAGCATTCTCAGAAACGTCTTTGTGATGTTTGCATTCAACTCATAGAGTTGAACATTCCCTTTCAGAGAGCAGCTTTGAAGCACTCTTTTTGTAGGATGTGCAAGGGGATATTTGGAGCGCTCTGAGGCCTAAGGTGAAAAAGCAAATATCTTCCCATAACCACTAGACAGAAACATTCTCAGAAACTCCTTTATGACGTATGCACTCACCTAACAGAGAAGAACCTTCCTTTTGACAGAGCAGTTTTGATACACTCTTTTTGTAGAATCTGCAAGTGGATATTTGGATAGCTGTGAAGATTTCGTTGGAATCGGGAATATCATCCTATAAAATCTAGACAGAAGCATTCTCAGAAACAGCTCTGTGATGTCTGCATTCAAGTCACAGAGTTGAACATTGCCTTTCATAGAGCAGGTTTGAAACGCTCTTTTTGAAGTATATGGAAGTGGACGTTTCGGACGGTTTGAGGCCCATGGTGATAAAGGGAATATCTTTCCCTACAAGCTACAAACAAGCATTCTGTGAAACTTGTTTGTGATGTGTGTACTCAATTAACAGAGTTGAACCTTACTTTTTAAAGAGCAGTTTTGAAACACTCTTTTTGTAGAATCTGCGAGGGGATATTTGGATAGATTTCAGGATTTCGTTGGAAACGGGAATATCTTCATATAAAATCTCGACAGAAGCATTCTCAGAAACTTCTTTGTGATATGTGCATTCAAGTCACAGAGTTGAATATTCCCTTTCACAGAGTAGGTTTGAAACACTCTTTTTGTAGTATCTGGAAGTGGACATTTGGAGCGCCTTGACACCTACGGTGCAAAGGGAAATATCTTCCCATAAAAACTAGACAGAAGTAATCTCAGAATCTTCTTTGGGATATATGCACGCAGCTAACAGAGTTGAACCTTTCTATTGACAGAGCAGTTTTGAAACAGTCTTTCTGTGGAATCTGCAAGTGGATATTTGGATGGCTTGGAGGATTTCGTTGGAAACGGGATTACGTATAAAAATTGGACAGCAGCATTCTCAGAAACTTCTTTGTGATGTGTGCATTCAAGTCAAAGTGTTGAACATTCCCTTTCGTACAGCAGTTTTGAAACACTCTTTCTGTAGTATCTGGAAGTGAACGTGATGAGAGCTTTCAGGTCTATGGTAAGAAAGGAAATATCTTCAAATAAAAACTAGACAGAAGCATTCTCATAAACTTGTTTGTGATGTGTGAACTCAGCTAACAGAGGTGGATCTTTCTTTTTATAGAGCAGTTCTGAAAAACACTTTTTGTTGAATCTGCAAGTGGACATTTGGATAGATTTGAAGATTTCGTTGGAAACGGGAATATCTTCATATCAAATCTAGACAGAAGCATTCTCAGAAACGTCTTTGGGATGTTTGCATTCAACTCATAGAGTTGAACATTCCGTTTCAGAGACCAGCTTTGAAGCACTCTTTTTGTAGTATGTGCAAGTGGATATTTGGAGCGCTCTGAGGCCTACGGTGAAAAAGCAAATATCTTCCCATAACCACTAGACAGAAACATTCTCAGAAACTCCTTTATGACGTATGTACTCAACTAACGGAGAAGAACCTTCCTTTTGACAGAGCAGTTTTGATACACTCTTTTTGTAGAATCTGCAAGTGGATATTTGGATAGCTGTGAAGATTTCGTTGGAAACGGGAATATCTTCCTGTAAAATCTAGACAGAAGCATTCTCAGGAACTGCTCTGCGATGTCTGTATTCAAGTCACAGAGTTGAACATTGCCTTTCATAGAGCAGGTTTGAAACGCTCTTTTTGTAGTATATGGAAGTGGACGTTTCGGACGGTTTGAGGCCCATGGTGATAAAGGGAATATCTTCCCCTACAAGCTAGAAAGAAGCATTCTGTGAAACTTGTTTGTGATGTGTGTACTCAACTAACAGAGTTGAACCTTTCTTTTTACAGAGCAGTTTTGAAACACTCTTTTTGTAGAATCTGCGATGGGATATTTGGATACATTTCAGCATTTCGTTGGAAACGGGAATATCTTCATATAAAATCTCGACAGAAGCATTCTCAGAAACTTCTTTGTGATATGTGCATTCAAGTCACAGAGTTGAATATTCCCTTTCACAGAGTAGGTTTGAAACACTCTTTTTGTAGTATCTGGAAGTGGACATTTGGAGCGCCTCGACGCCTACGGTGAAAAGGGCAATATCTTCCCATAAAAACTAGACAGAAGCAATCTCAGAATCTTCTTTGGGATATATGCACGCAGCTAACAGAGTTGAACCTTTCTATTGACAGAGCAGTTTTGAAACAGTCTTTCTGTGGAATCTGCAAGTGGATATTTGGATAGCTTGGAGGATTTCCTTGGAAACGGGATTACGTATAAAAAGTAGACAGCAGCATCCTCAGAAACTTCTTTGTGATGTGTGCATTCAAGTCACAGAGTTGAACATTCCCTTTCGTACAGCAGTTTTGAAACACTCTTTCTGTAGCATATGGAAGTGAACATTAGAACAGCTTTCAGGTCTATCGTGAGAAAGGAAATATCTTCAAATAAAAACTAGACAGAAGCATTCTGATAAACTTGTTTGTGAAGTGTGATCTCAGCTAACAGAGGTGGATCTTTCTTGTGATAGAGCAGTTCTGAAAAACACTTTGTTGAATCTGCAAGTGGACATTTGGATAGATTTGAAGATTTCGTTGGAAACGGGAATATCTTCATATCAAATCTAGACAGAAGCATTCTCAGAAACGTCTTTGTGATGTTTGCATTCAACTCATAGAGTTGAACATTCCGTTTCAGAGAGCAGCTTTGAAGCACACTTTTTGTAGTATGTGCAAGGGGATATTTGGAGCGCTCCGAGGCCTAAGGTGAAAAAGCAAATATCTTCCCATAACCACTAGACAGAAACATTGTCAGAAACTCCTTTATGACGTATGCACTCACCTAACAGAGAAGAACCTTCCTTTTGACAGAGCAGTTTTGATACACTCTTTTTGTAGAATCTGCAAGTGGATATTTGGATAGCTGTGAAGATTTCGTTGGAAACGGGAATATCTTCCTATAAAATCTAGACAGAAGCATTCTCAGAAACTGCTCTGTGATGTCTGCATTCAAGTCACAGAGTTGAACATTGCCTTTCATAGAGCAGGTTTGAAACGCTCTTTTTGTAGTATATGGAAGTGGACGTTTCGGACGGTATGAGGCCCATGGTGATAAAGGGAATATCTTCCCCTACAAGCTAGAAAGAAGCATTCTGTGAAACTTGTTTGTGATGTGTGTACTCAACTAACAGAGTTGAACCTTTCTTTTTACAGTGCAGTTTTGAAACACTCTTTTTGTAGAATCTGCGAGGGGATATTTGGATAGATTTCAGGATTTCGTTGGAAACGGGAGTATCTTCATATAAAATCTCGACAGAAGCATTCTCAGAAACTTCTTTGTGATATCTGCCTTTAAGTCACAGAGTTGAATATTCCCTTTCACAGAGTAGGTTTGAAACACTCTATTTGTAGTATCTGGAAGTGGACATTTGGAGCGCCTTGACACCTACGGTGAAAAGGGAAATATCTTCCCATAAAAACTAGACAGAAGCAATCTCAGAATCTTCTTTGGGATATATGCACGCAGCTAACAGAGTTGAACCTTTCTATTGACAGAGCAGTTTTGAAACAGTCTTTCTGTGGAATCTGCAAGTGGATATTTGGATAGCTTGGAGGATTTCGTTGGAAACGGGATTACGTATATAAAGTAGACCACAGCATCCTCAGAAACATCCTTGTGATGTGTGCATTCAAGTCACAGAGTTGAACATTCCCTTTCGTACAGCAGATTTGAAACACTCTTTCTGTAGTATCTGGAAGTGAACTTTAGGACAGCTTTCAGGTCTATAGTGAGAAAGGATATATCTTCAAATAAAAACTAGACGGAAGCATTCTCATAAACTTGTTTGTGATGTGTGAACTCAGCTAACAGAGGTGGATCTTTCTTTTGATAGAGCAGTTCTGAAAAACACTTTTTGTTGAATCTGCAAGTGGACATTTGGATAGATGTGAAGATTTCGTTGGAAACGGGAATATCTTCATATCCAATCTAGACAGAAGCATTCTCAGAAACGTCTTTGTGATGTTTGCATTCAACTCATAGAGTTGAACATTCCCGTTTCAGAGACCAGCTTTGAAGCACTCTTTTTGTAGTATGTGCAAGTGGATATTTGGAGCGCTCTGAGGCCTACGGTGAAAAAGCAAATATCTTCCCATAACCACTAGACAGAAACATTCTCAGAAACTCCTTTATGACGTATGCACTCTCCTAACAGAAAAGAACCTTCCTTTTGACAGAGCAGTTTTGATACACTCTTTTTGTAGAATCTGCAAGTGGATATTTGGATAGCTGTGAAGATTTCGTTGGAAACGGGAATATCTTCCTATAAAATCTAGACAGAAGCATTCTCAGAAACTGCTCTGTGATGTCTGCATTCAAGTCACAGAGTTGAACATTGCCTTTCATAGAGCAGATTTGAAACGCTCTTTTTGTAGTATATGGAACTGGATGTTTCGGACGGTTGGAGGCCCATGGTGATAAAGGGAATATCTTCCCCTACAAGCTAGAAAGAAGCATTCTGTGAAGCTTGTTTGTGATGTGTGTACTCAACTAACAGAGTTGAACCTTTCTTTTTACAGAGCAGTTTTGAAGCACTCTTTTTGTAGAATCTGCGAGGGGATATTTGGATAGATTTCAGGATTTCCTTGGAAACGGGAATATCTTCATATAAAATCTCGACAGAAAGCATTCTCAGAAACTTCTTTGTGATATCTGCCTTCAAGTCACAGAGTTGAATATTCCCTTTCACAGAGTAGGTTTGAAACACTCTTTTTGTAGTATCTGGAAGTGGACATTTGGAGCGCCTTGACGCCTACGGTGAAAAGGGAAATATCTTCCCATAAAAACTAGACAGAGCAATCTCAGAATCTTCTTTGGGATATATGGACGCAGCTAACAGAGTTGAACCTTTCTATTGACAGAGCAGTTTTGAAACAGTCTTTCTGTGGAATCTGCAAGTGGATATTTGGATAGCTTGTAGGATTTCGTTGGAAACGGGATTACGTATAAAAAGTAGACAGCAGCATCCTCAGAAACTTCTTTGTGATGTGTGCGTTCAAGTCACAGAGTTGAACATTCCCTTTCGTACAGCAGTTTTGAAACACTCTTTCTGTAGTATCTGGAAGTGAACATTAGGACAGCTTTCAGGTCTATGGTGAGAAAGGAAATATCTTCAAATAAAAACTAGACAGAAGCATTCTCATAAACTTGTTTGTGATGTGTGAACTCAGCTAACAGAGGTGGATCTTTCTTTTGATAGAGCAGTTCTGAAAAACACGTTTTGTTGAATCTGCAAGTGGACATTTCGATAGATTTGAAGATTTCGTTGGAAACGGGAATATCGTCATATCAAATCTAGACAGAAGCATTCTCAGAAACGTCTTTGTGATGTTTGCATTCAACTCATAGAGTTGAACATTCCGTTTCAGAGAGCAGCTTTGAAGCACTCTTTTTGTAGTATGTGCAAGTGGATATTTGGAGTGCTCTGAGGCCTACGGTGAAAAAGCAAATATCTTCCCATAACCACTAGACAGAAACATTCTCAGAAACTCCTTTATGACGTATGTACTCAACTAACAGAGAAGAAACTTCCTTTTGACAGAGCAGTTTTGATACACTCTTTTTGTAGAATCTGCAAGTGGATATTTGGATAGCTGTGAAGATTTCGTTGGAAACGGGAATATCTTCCTATAAAATCCAGACAGAAGCATTCTCAGAAACTGCTCTGTGATGTCTGCATTCAAGTCACAGAGTTGAACATTGCTTTTCCTAGAGAAGGTTTGAAACGCTCTTTTTGTAGTATATGGAAGTAGACTTTTCGGACGGTTTGAGGCCCATGGTGATAAAGGGAATATCTTCCCCTACAAGCTAGAAAGAAGCATTCTGTGAAACTTGTTTGTGATGTGTGTACTCAACTAACAGAGTTGAACCTTTCTTTTTACAGAGCAGTTTTGAAACACTCTTTTTGTAGAATCTGCGAGGGGATATGTGGATAGATTTCAGGATTTCGTTGGAAACGGGAATATCTTCATATAAAATCTCGACAGAAGCATTCTCAGAAACTTCTTTGTGATATGTGCATTCAAGTCACAGAGTTGAATATTCCCTTTCACAGTAGTAGGTTGGAAACACTCTTTTTGTAGTATCTGGAAGTGGACATTTGGAGCGCCTTGACACCTACGGTGAAAAGGGAAATATCTTCCCATAAAAACTAGACAGAAGCAATCTCAGAATCTTCTTTGGGATATATGCACGCAGCTAACAGAGTTGAATCTTTCTATTGACAGAGCAGATTTGAAACAGTCTTTCTGTGGAATCTGCAAGTGGATATTTGGATAGATTGGAGGATTTCTTTGGAAACGGGATTACGTATAAAAAGTAGACAGCAGCATCCTCAGAAACTTCCTTGTGATGTGTGCACTCAAGTCACAGAGTTGAAAATTCCCTTTCGTACAGCAGGTTTGAAACACTCTTTCTGTAGTATCTGGAAGTGAACTTTAGGAGAGCTTTCAGGTCTATAGTGAGGAAGGATATATCTTCAAATAAAAACTAGACAGAAGCATTCTCATAAACTTGTTTGTGATGTGTGAACTCAGCTAACAGAGGTGGATCTTTCTTTTGATAGAGCAGTTCTGAAAAACACTTTCTGTTGAATCTGCAAGTGGACATTTGGATAGATTTGAAGATTTCGTTGGAAACGGGAATATCTTCATATCAAATCTAGACAGAAGCATTCTCAGAAACGTCTTTGTGATGTTTGCATTCAACTCATAGAGTTGAACATTCCCTTTCAGAGAGCAGCTTTGAAGCACTTTTTGTAGCATGTGCAAGTGGACATTTGGAGCGCCCTGAGGCCTACGGGGAAAAAGCAAATATCTTCCCATAACCACTAGACAGAAACATTTTCAGAAACTCCTTTATGACGTATGCACTCACCTAACAGAGAAGAACCTTCCTTTTGACAGAGCAGTTTTGATACACTCTTTTTGTAGAATCTGCAAGTGGATATTTGGATACCTGTGAAGATTTCGTTGGAAACGGGAATATCTTCCTATAAAATCTAGACAGAAGCATTCTCAGAAACTGCTACTGTGATGTCTGCATTCAAGTCACAGAGTTGAACATTGCCTTTCATAGAGCAGGTTTGAAATGCTCTTTTTGTAGTATATGGAAGTGGACGTTTCAGACGGTTTGAGGCCCATGGTGATAAAGGGAATATCTTCCCCTACAAGCTAGAAAGAAGCATTCTGTGAAACTTGTTTGTGATGTGTGTACTCATCTAACAGAGTTGAACCTTTCTTTTTACAGAGCAGTTTTGAAACACTCTTTTTGTAGAATCTGCGAGGGGATATTTGGATAGATTTCAGGATTTCGTTGGAAACGGGAATATCTTCATATAAAATCTCGACAGAAGCATTCTCAGAAACTTCTTTGTGATATGTGCATTCAAGTCACAGAGTTGAATATTCCCTTTCACAGAGTAGGTTTGAAACACTCTTTTTGTAGTATCTGGAAGTGGACATTTGGAGCGTCCTTGGCGCCTACGGTGAAAAGGGAAATATCTTCCCATAAAAACTAGACAGCAGCAATCTCAGAATCTTCTTTGGGATATATGCACGCAGCTAACAGAGTTGAACCTTTCTATTGACAGAGCAGTTTTGAAACAGTCTTTCTGTGGAATCTGCAAGTGGATATTTGGATAGCTTGGAGGATTTCGTTGGAAACGGGATTACGTATAAAAGTAGACAGCAGCATCCTCAGAAACTTCTTTGTGATGTGTGCATTCAAGTCACAGAGTTCAACATTCCCTTTCGTACAGCAGTTTTGAAACACTCTTTCTGTAGTATCTGGAAGTGAACATTAGGACAGCTTTCAGGTCTATGGTGAGAAAGGAAATATCTTCAAATAAAAACTAGACACAAGCATTCTCATAAACTTGTTTGTGATCTGTGAACTCAGCTAAGAGACGTGGATCTTTCTTTTGATAGAGCAGTTCTGAAAAACACTTTTTGTTGAATCTGCAAGTGGACATTTGGATAGATTTGAAGATTTCTTTGGAAACGAGAATATCTTCATATCAAATCTAGACAGAAGCATTCTCAGAAACGTCTTTGTGATGTTTGCATTCAACTCATAGAGTTGAACATTCCCTTTCCGAGAGCAGCTTTGAAGCACTCTTTTTGTAGTATGTGCAAGTGGATATTTGGAGCGCTCTGAGGCCTACGGTGAAAAAGCAAATATCTTCCCATAACCACTAGACAGAAACATTCTCAGAAACTCCTTTATGACGTATGCACTCACCTAACAGAGAAGAACCTTCCTTTCGACAGAGCAGTTTTGATACACTCTTTTTGTGGAATCTGCAAGTGGATATTTGGATAGCTGTGAAGATTTCGTTGGAAACGGGAATATCTTCCTATAAAATCTAGACAGAAGCATTCTCAGAAACTGCTCTGTGATGTCTGCATTCAAGTCACAGAGTTGAACATTGCCTTTCATAGAGCACGTTTGAAACGCTCTTTTTGTAGTATATGGAAGTGGACGTTTCGGACGGTTTGTGGCCCATGGTGATAAAGGGAATATCTTCCCCTACAAGCTAGAAAGAAGCATTATGTGAAACTTGTTTGTGAGGTGTGTACTCAACTAACAGAGTTGAACCTTTCTTTTTACAGAGCAGTTTTGAAACACTCTTTTTGTAGAATCTGCGAGGGGATATTTGGATAGATTTCAGGATTTCGTTGGAAAGGGGAATATCTTCATATAAAATCTCGACAGAAGCATTCTCAGAAACTTCCTTGTGATATGTGCATTCAAGTCACAGAGTTGAATATTCCCTTTCACAGAGTAGGTTTGAAACACTCTTTTTGTAGTATCTGGAAGTGGACATTTGGAGCGCCCTGACGCCTACGGTGAAAAGGGAAATATCTTCCCATAAAAACTAGACAGAAGCAATCTCCGAATCTTCTTTGGGATATATGCACGCAGCTAATAGAGTTGAACTTTTCTATTGACAGAGCAGATTTGAAACAGTCTTTCTGTGGAATCTGCAAGTGGATATTTGGATAGCCTGGAGGATTACGTTGGAAACGGGATTACGTATAAAAAGTAGACAGCAGCATCCTCAGAAACATCCTTGTGATGTGTGCATTCAAGTCACAGAGTTGAACATTCCCTTTCATACAGCAGTTTTGAAACACTCTTTCTGTAGTATCTGGAAGTGAACTTTAGGACAGCTTTCAGGTCTATAGTGAGAAAGGATATATCTTCAAATAAAAACTAGACAGAAGCATTCTGATAAACTTGTTTGTGAAGTGTGAACTCAGCTAACAGAGGTGGATCTTTCTTTTGATTGAACAGTTCTGAAAAACACTTTTTGTTGAATCTGCAAGTGGACATTTGGATAGATTTGAAGATTTCGTTGGAAACGGGAATATCTTCATATCAAATCTAGACAGAAGCATTCTCAGAAACGTCTCTGTCATGTTTGCATTCAACTCATAGAGTTGAACATTCCCTTTCAGAGAGCAGCTTTGAAACATTCTTTTTGTAGTATGTGCAAGTGGATATTTGGAGCGCTCTGAGGCCTACGGTGAAAAAGAAAATATCTTCCCATAACCACTAGACAGAAACATTCTCAGAAACTCCTTTATGACGTAAGCACTCACCTAACAGAGAAGAACCTTCCTTTTGACAGAGCAGTTTTGTTACACTCTTTTTGTAGAATCTGCAAGTGGATATTTGGATACCTGTGAAGATTTCGTTGGAAACGGGAATATCTTCCTATAAAATCTAGACAGAAGCATTCTCAGAAACTGCTCTGTGATGTCTGCATTCAAGTCACAGAGTTGAACATTGCCGTTCATAGAGCAGGTTTGAAACACTCTTTTTGTAGGATATGGAAGTGGACGTTTCGGACGGTTTGAGGCCCATGGTGATAAAGGGAATATCTTCCCCTACAAGCTAGAAAGAAGCATTCTGTGAAACTTGTTTGTGATGTGTGTACTCAACTAACAGAGGTGAACCTTTCTTTTTACAGAGCAGTTTTGAAACACTCTTTTTGTAGAATCTGCGAGGGGATATTTGGATACATTTCAGGATTTCGTTGGAAACGGGAATATCTTCATATAAAATCTCTACAGAAGCATTCTCAGAAACTTCCTTGTGATATGTGCATTCAAGTCACAGAGTTGAATATTCCCTTTCACAGAGTAGGTTTGAAACACTCTTTTTGTAGTATCTGGAAGTGGACATTTGGAGCGCCTTGACACCTACGGTGAAAAGGGAAAAATCTTCCCATAAAAACTAGACAGAAGCAATCTCAGAATCTTCTTTGGGATATATGCACGCAGCTAACAGAGTTGAAGCTTTCTATTGACAGAGCAGTTTTGAAACAGTCTTTCTGTGGAATCTGCAAGTGGATATTTGGATAGCTTTGAGGATTTCGTTGGAAACGGGATTACGTATAAAAAGTAGACAGCAGCATCCTCAGAAACTTCTTTGTGATGTGTGCATTCAAGTCACAGAGTTGAACATTCCCTTTCGTACAGCAGTTTTGAAACACTCTTTCTGTAGTATCTGGAAGTGAACATTAGGACAGCTTTCAGCTCTATGGTAAGAAAGGAAATATCTTCAAATAAAAACTAGACAGAAGCATTCTCATAAACTTCTTTGTGATGTGTGAACTCAGCTAACCGAGGTGGATCTTTCTTTTGATAGAGCAGTTCTGAAAAACACTTTTTGTTGAATCTGCAAGTGGACATTTGGATAGATATGAAGATTTCGTTGGAAACGGGAATAACTTCATTTCAAATCTAGACAGAAGCATTCTCAGAAACGTCTTTGTGATGTTTGCATTCAACTCATAGAGTTGAACATTCCCTTTCAGAGAGCAGCTTTGAAGCACTCTTTTTGTAGTATGTGCAAGGGGATATTTGGAGCGCTCTGAGGCCTAAGGTGAAAAATCAAATATCTTCCCATAACCACTAGACAGAAACATTCTCAGAAACTCCTTTATGACGTATGCACTCAACTAACAGAGAAGAACCTTCCTTTTGACAGAGCAGTTTTGATACACTCTTTTTGTAGAATCTGCAAGTGGATATTTGGATACCTGTGAAGATTTCGTTGGAAACGGGAATATCTTCCTATAAAATCTAGACAGAAGCATTCTCAGAAACTGCTCTGTGATGTCTGCATTCAAGTCACAGAGTTCAACATTGCCTTTCATAGAGCAGGTTTGAAATGCTCTTTTTGTAGTATATGGAAGTGGACTTTTCGGACGGTTTGAGGCCCATGGTGATAAAGGGAATATCTTCCCCTACAAGCTAGAAAGAAGCATTCTGTGAAACTTGTTTGTGATGTGTGTACTCAACTAACAGAATTGAACCTTTCTTTTCACAGAGCAGTTTTGAAACACTCTTTTTGTAGAATCTGCGAGGGGATATTTGGATAGATTTCAGGATTTCGTTGGAAACGGGAATATCTTCATATAAAATCTCGACAGAAGCATTCTCAGAAACTTCTTTGTGATATCTGCATTCAAGTCACAGAGTTGAATATTCCCTTTCACAGAGTAGGTTTGAAACACTCTTTTTGTAGTGTCTGGAAGTGGACATTTGGAGCACATTGACACCTACTTTGAAAAGGGAAATATCTTCCCATAAAAACTAGACAGAAGCAATCTCAGAATCTTCTTTGGGATATTTGCACGCAGCTAACAGAGTTGAACCTTTCTATTGACAGAGCAGTTTTGAAACAGTCTTTCTGTGGAATCTGCAAGTGGATATTTGGATAGCTTGGAGGATTTCATTGGAAACGGGATTACGTATAAAAATTAGACAGCAGCATCCTCAGAAACTTCTTTGTGATGTGTGCATTCAAGTCACAGAGTTGAACATTCCCTTTCGTACAGCAGTTTTGAAACACTCTTTCTGTAGTAACTGGAAGTGAACATTAGGACAGCTTTCAGGTGTATGGTGAGAAAGGAAATATCTTCAAATAAAAACTAGACAGAAGCATTCTCATAAACTTGTTTGTGATGTGTGAACTCAGCTAACAGAGGTGGATCTTTCGTTTGATAGAGCAGTTCTGAAAAACACTTTTTGTTGAATCTGCAAGTGGACATTTGGATAGATTTGAAGATTTCGTTGGAAACGGGAATATCTTCATATCAAATCTAGACAGAAGCATTCTCAGAAACGTCTTTGTGATGTTAGCATTCAACTCATAGAGTTGAACATTCCCGTTCAGAGAGCAGCTTTGAAGCACTCTTTTTGTAGTATGTGCAAGTGGATATTTGGAGCGCTCTGAGGCCTATGGTGAAAAAGCAAATATCTTCCCATAACCACTAGACAGAAGCATTCTCAGAAACTCCTTTATGACGTATGCACTCACCTAACAGAAAAGAACCTTCCTTTTGACAGAGCAGTTTTGATACACTCTTTTTGTAGAATCTGCAAGTGGATATTTGGATAGCTGTGAAGATTTCGTTGGAAACGGGAATATCTTCCTATAAAATCTAGACAGAAGCATTCTCAGAAACTGCTCTGTGATGTCTGCATTCAAGTCACAGAGTTGAACATTGCCTTTCATAGAGCAGGTTTGAAACGCTCTTTTTGTAGTATATGGAAGTGGACGTTTCGGACGGTTTGAGGCCCATGGTGATAAAGGGAATATCTTCCCCTACTAGCTAGAAAGAAGCATTGTGTGAAACTTGTTTGTGATGTGTGTACTCAACTAACAGAGTTGAACCTTTCTTTTTACAGAGCAGTTTTGAAACACTCGTTTTGTAGAATCTGCGAGGGGATATTTGGATAGATTTCAGGATTTCGTTGGAAACGGGAATATCTTCATATAAAATCTCGACAGAAGCATTCTCAGAAACTTCTTTGTGATATCTCCATTCAAGTCACCGAGTTGAATATTCCCTTTCACAGAGTAGGTTTGAAACACTCTTTTTGTAGTATCTGGAAGTGGACATTTGGAGCGCCTTGACGCCTACGGTGAAAAGGGAAATATCTTCCCATAAAAACTAGACAGAAGCAATCTCAGAATCTTCTTTGGGATATATGCACGCAGCTAACACAGTTGAACCTTTCTATTGACAGAGCAGTTTTGAAACAGTCTTTCTGTGGAATCTGCAAGTGGATATTTGGAGAGCTTGGAGGATTTCGTTGGAAACGGGATTACGTATAAAAAGTAGACAGCAGCATCCTCAGAAACTTCTTTGTGATGTGTGCATTCAAGTCACAGAGTTGAACATTCCCTTTCGTACAGCAGTTTTGAAACACTCTTTCTGTAGTATCTGGAAGTGAACATTAGGACAGCTTTCAGGTCTATGGTGAGAAAGGAAATATCTTCAAATAAAAAGTAGACAGAAGCATTGTCATAAACTTGTTTGTGATGTGTGAACTCAGCTAACAGAGGTGGATCTTTCTTTTGATAGAGCAGTTCTGAAAAACACGTTTTGTTGAATCTGCAAGTGGACATTTGGATAGATTTGAAGATTTCGTTGGAAACGGGAATATCTTCATATCAAATCTAGACAGAAGCATTCTCAGAAACGTCTTTGTGATGTTTGCATTCAACTCATAGAGTTGAACATTCCGTTTCAGAGAGCAGCTTTGAGGCACTCTTTTTGTAGTATGTGCAAGTGGATATTTGGAGCGCTCTGAGGCCTAAGGTGAAAAAGCAAATATCTTCCCATAACCACTAGACAGAAACATTCTCAGAAACTCCTTTATGACGTATGCACTCACCTAACAGAAAAGAACCTTCCTTTTGACAGAGCAGTTTTGATACACTCTTTTTGTAGAATCTGCAAGTGGATATTTGGATAGCTGTGAAGATTTCGTTGGAAACGGGAATATCTTCCTATAAAATCTATACAGAAGCATTCTCAGAAACTGCTCTGTGATGTCTGCATTCAACTCACAGAGTTGAACATTGCCTTTCATAGAGCAGGTTTGAAATGCTCTTTTTGTAGTATATGGAAGTGGACGTTTCAGACGGTTTGAGGCCCATGGTGATAAAGGGAATATCTTCCCCTACAAGCTAGAAAGAAGCATTCTGTGAAACTTGTTTGTGATGTGTGTACTCAACCAACAGAGTTGAACCTTTCTTTTTACAGAGCAGTGTTGAAACACTCTTTTTGTAGAATCTGCGAGGGGATATTTGGATAGATTTCAAGATTTCGTTGGAAACGGGAATATCTTCATATAAAATCTCGACAGAAGCATTCTCAGAAACTTCTTTGTGATATGTGCATTCAAGTCACAGAGTTGAATATTCCCTTTCACAGAGTAGGTTTGGAACACTCTTTTTGTAGTATCTGGAAGTGGACATTTGGAGCGCCTTGACGCCTACGGTGAAAAGGGAAATATCTTCCCATAAAAACTAGACAGAAGCAATCTCAGAATCTTCTTTGGGATATATGCACGCAGCTAACAGAGTTGAACATTTCTATTGACAGAGCAGTTTTGAAACAGTCTTTCTGTGGAATCTGTAAGTGGATATTTGGATAGATTGGAGGATTTCGTTGGAAACGGGATTACGTATAAAAAGTAGACAGCAGCATCCTCAGAAACTTCTTTGTGATGTGTGCATTCAAGTCACAGAGTTGAACATTCCCTTTCGTACAGCAGTTTTGAAACACTCTTTCTGTAGTATCTGGAAGTGAACATTAGGACAGCTATCAGGTCTATGGTGAGAAAGGAAATATCTTCAAATAAAAACTAGACAGAAGCATTCTCATAAACTTGTTTGTGATGTGTGAACTCAGCTAACAGAGGTGGATCTTTCTTTTGATAGAGCAGTTCTGAAAAACACTTTTTGTTGAATCTGCAAGTGGACATTTGGATAGATTTGAAGATTTCATTGGAAACGGGAATATCTTTATATCAAATCTAGACAGAAGCATTCTCAGAAACGTCTTTGTGATGTTTGCATTCAACTCATAGAGTTGAACATTCCGTTTCAGAGAGCAGCTTTGAGGCACTCTTTTTGTAGTATGTGCAAGTGGATATTTGGAGCTCTCTGAGGCCTACGGTGAAAAAGCAAATATCTTCCCATAACCACTAGACAGAAACATTCTCAGAAACTCCTTTATGACGTATGCACTCACCTAACAGAGAAGAACCTCCCTTTTGACAGAGCAGTTTTGATACACTCTTTTTGTAGAATCTGCAAGTGGATATTTGGATACCTGTGAAGATTTTGTTGGAAACGGGAATATCTTCCTATAAAATCTAGACAGAAGCATTCTCAGAAACTGCTATGTGATGTCTGCATTCAAGTCACAGAGTTGAACATTGCCTTTCCTAGAGCAGGTTTTAAACGCTCTTTTTGTAGTATATGGAAGTGGACGTTTCGGACGGTTTGAGGCCCATGGTGATAAAGGGAATATCTTCCCCTACAAGCTAGAAAGAAGCATTCTGTGAAACTTGTTTGTGATGTGTGTACTCAACTAACAGAGTTGAACCTTTCTTTTTGCAGAGCAGTTTTGAAACACTCTTTTGTAGAATCTGCGAGGGGATATTTGGATAGATTTCAGGATTTCATTGGAAACGGGAATATCTTCATATAAAATCTCGACAGAAGCATTCTCAGAAACTTCTTTGTGATATCTGCATTCAAGTCACAGAGTTGAATATTCACTTTCACAGAGTAGGTTTGAAACACTCCTTTTGTAGTATCTGGAAGTGGACATTTGGAGCGCCTTGACGCCTACGGTGAAAAGGGAAATATCTTCCCATAAAAACTAGACAGAAGCAATCTCAGAATTTTCTTTGGGATATATGCACACAGCTAACAGAGTTGAACTTTTCTATTGACATAGCAGTTTTGAAACAGTCTTTCGGTGGAATCTGCAAGTGGATATTTGGATAGCTTGGAGGATTTCGTTGGAAATGGGATTACGTATAAAAAGTAGACAGCAGCATCCTCAGAAACTTCTTTGTGATGTGTGCATTCAAGTCACAGAGTTGAACATTTCCTTTCGTACAGCAGTTTTGAAACACTCTTTCTGTATTATCTGGAAGTGAACATTAAGACAGCTTTCAGCTCTATGGTGAGAAAGGAAATATCTTCAAATAAAAACTGGACAGAAGCATTCTCATAAACTTGTTTGTGATGTGTGAACTCAGCTAACCAGAGGGGGATCTTTCTTTTGATAGAGCAGTTCTGAAAAACACTTTTTGTTGAATCTGCAAGTGGACATTTGGATAGATTTGAAGATTTCGTTGGAAACGGGAATATCTTCATATCAAATCTAGACAGAAGCATTCTCAGAAACGTCTTTGTGATGTTTGCATTCAACTCATAGAGTTGAACAATTCCCTTTCAGAGAGCAGCTTTGAAGCACTCTTTTTGTAGTATGTGCAAGGGGATATTTGGAGCGCTCTGAGGCCTAAGGTGAAAAAGCAAATATCTTCCCATAACCACTAGACAGAAACATTCTCAGAAACTCCTTTATGACGTATGCACTCACCTAACAGAGAAGAACCTTCCTTTTGACAGAGCAGTTTTGATACACTCTTTTTGTAGGATCTGCAAGTGGATATTTGGATAGCTGTGAAGATTTCGTTGGAAACGGGAATATCTTCCTATAAAATCTAGACAGAAGCATTGTCAGAAACTGCTCTGTGATGTCTGCATTCAAGTCACAGAGTTGAACATTGCCTTTCATAGAGCAGCTTTCAAACACTCTTTTTTTAGTATATGGAAGTGGACGTTTCGGACGGTTTGAGGCCCATGGTGATAAAGGAAATATCTTCCCCTACAAGCTAGAAAGAAGCATTCTGTGAAACTTGTTTGTGATGTGTGTACTCAACTAACAGAGTTGAACCTTTCTTTTTACAGAACAGTTTTGAAACACTCTTTTGTAGAATCTGCGAGGGGATATTTGGATAGATTTCAGGATTTCGTTGGAAACGGGAATAACTTCATATAAAATCTCGACAGAAGCATTCTCAGAAACTTCTTTGTGATATCTGCCTTCAAGTCACAGAGTTGAATATTCCCTTTCACAGAGTAGGTTTGAAACACTCTTTTTGTAGTATCTGGAAGTGGACATTTGGAGCGCCTTGACGCCTACGGTGAAAAGGGTAATATCTTCCCATAAAAACTAGACAGAAGCAATCTCAGAATCTTCTTTGGGATATATGCACGCAGCTAACAGAGTTGAACCTTTCTATTGACAGAGCAGTTTTGAAACAGTCTTTCTGTGGAATCTGCAAGTGGATATTTGGATAGCTTGGAGGATTTCGTTGGAAACAGGATTACGTATAAAAAGTAGACAGCAGCATCCTCAGAAACTTCCTTGTGATGCGTGCATTCAAGTCACAGAGTTGAATATTCCCTTTCGTACAGCAGTTTTGAAACACTCTTTCTGTAGTATCTGGAAGTGAACTTTAGGAGAGCTTTCAGGTCTATAGTGAGAAAGGATATATCTTCAAATAAAAACTAGACAGAAGCATTCTCATGTGTGATGTGTGAACTCAGCTAACAGAGGTGGATCTTTCTTTTCATACAGCAGTTTTGAAAAACACTTTTTGTTGAATCTGCAAGTGGACATTTGGATAGATTTGAAGATTTCGTTGGAAACGGGAATATCTTCATATCAAATCTAGACAGAAGCTTTCTCAGAAACGTCTTTGTGATGTTTGCATTCAACTCATAGAGTTGAACATTCCGTTTCAGAGAGCAGCTTTGAGGCACTCTTTTTGTAGTATGTGCAAGTGGATATTTGGAGCGCTCTGAGGCCTACGGTGAAAAAGCAAATATCTTCCCATAACCACTAGACAGAAACATTCTCAGAAACTCCTTTATGACGTATGCACTCACCCAACAGAGAAGAACCTTCCTTTTGACAGAGCAGTTTTGATACACTCTTTTTGTAGTATCTGCAAGTGGATATTGGGATAGCTGTGAAGATTTCGTTGGAAACGGGAATATCTTCCTATAAAATCTAGACAGAAGCATTCTCAGAAACTGCTCTGTGATGTCTGCATTCAAGTCACAGAGTTGAACATTACCTTTCATAGAGCAGGTTTGAAACGCTCTTTTTGTAGTATATGGAAGTGGACGTTTCGGACGGTTTGAGGCCCATGGTGATAAAGGGAATATCTTCCCCTACAAGCTAGAAAGAAGCATTCTGTGAAACTTGTTTGTGATGTGTTTACTCAACTAACAGAGTTGAACTTTTCTTTTGATAGAGCAGTTTTCAAACATTCTTTTTTGTAGAGTCTGCAAGTGGATATTTGGCTAGCTTTGAGGATTTTGTTGGAAACGGGAATATCTTCACATAAAAACTAGGCAGAAGCATTCTCAGAAACTTCTTTGTGATATCTGCATTCAAGTCACAGAGTTGAATATTCCCTTTCACAGAGTAGGTTTGAAACACTCTTTTTGTAGTATCTGGAAGTGGACATTTGGAGCGCCTTGACGCCTAAGGTGAAAAGGGAAATATCTTCCCATAAAAACTAGACAGAAGCAATCTCAGAATCTTCTTTGGGATATATGCACGCAGCTAACAGAGTTGAACTTTTCTATTGACAGAGCAGTTTTGAAACAGTCTTTCTGTGGAATCTGCAAGTGGATATTTGGATAGATTGGAGGATTTCGTTGGAAACGGGATTACGTATAAAAAGTAGACAGCAGCATCCTCAGAAACTTCTTTGTGATGTGTGCATTCAAGTCACAGAGTTGAACATTCCCTTTCGTACAGCAGTTTTGAAACACTCTTTCTGTAGTATCTGGAAGTGAACATTAGGACAGCTTTCAGGTCTATGGTGAGAAAGGAAATATCTTCTAATAAAAACAAGACAGAAGCATTCTCATAAACTTGTTTGTGATGTGTGAACTCAGCTAACAGAGGAGGATCTTTCTTTTGATAGAGCAGTTCTGAAAAACACTTTTTGTTGAATCTGCAAGTGGACATTTGGATAGATTTGAAGATTTCGTTGGAAACGGGAATATCTTCATATCAAATCTAGACAGAAGCATTCTCAGAAACGTCTTTGTGATGTTTGCATTCAACTCATAGAGTTGAACATTCCCTTTCAGAGAGCAGCTTTGAAGCACTCTTTTTGTAGTATGTGGAAGTGGATATTTGGAGCGCTCTGAGGCCTACGGTGAAAAAGCAAATATCTTCCCATAACCACTAGACAGAAACATTCTCAGAAACTCCTTTATGACGTATGCACTCACCTAACAGAGAAGAACCTTCCTTTTGACAGAGCAGTTTTGATACACTCTTTTTGTAGAATCTGCAAGTGGATATTTTGATAGCTGTGAAGATTTCGTTGGAATCGGGAATATCTTCCTACAAAATCTAGACAGAAGCATTCTCAGAAACTGCTCTGTGATGTCTGCATTCAAGTCACAGAGTTGAACATTGCCTTTCATTTAGCAGGTTTGAAACGCTCTTTTTGTAGTATATGGAAGTGGACGTTTCGGACTGTTTGAGGCCCATGGTGATAAAGGGAATATCTTCCCCTACAAGCTAGAAAGAAGCATTCTGTGAAACTTATTTGTGATGTGTGTACTCAACTAACAGAGTTGAACCTTTCTTTTTACAGAGCAGTTTTGAAACACTCTTTTTGTAGAATCTGCGAGGGGATATTTGGATAGATTTCAGGATTTCGTTGGAAACGGGAATATCTTCATATAAAATCTCGACAGAAGCATTCTCAGAAACTTCTTTGTGATATGTGCATTCAAGTCACAGTGTTGAATATTCCCTTTCACAGAGTAGGTTTGAAACACTCTTTTTGTTGTATCTGGAAGTGGACATTTGGAGCGCCTTGACACCTACGATGAAAAGGGAAATATCTTCCCATAAAAACTAGACAGAAGCAATCTCAGAATCTTCTTTGGGATATATGCACGCAGCTAACAGAGTTGAACCTTTCTATTGACAGAGCAGTTTTGAAACAGTCTTTCTGTAGAATCTGCAAGTGGATATTTGGATAGCTTGGAGGATTTCATTGGAAACGGGATTACGTATAAAAAGTAGACAGCAGCATCCTCAGAAGCTTCTTTGTGATGTGTGCATTCAAGTCACAGAGTTGAACATTCCCTTTCGTACAGCAGTTTTGAAACACTCTTTCTGTAGTATCTGGGAGTGAACATTAGGACAGCTTTCAGGTCTATGGTGAGAAAGGAAATATCTTCAAATAAAAACTAGACAGAAGCATTCTCATAAACTTGTTTGTGATGTGTGAACTCAGCTAACAGAGGTGGATCTTTCTTTTGATAGAGGAGTTCTGAAAAACACTTTTTGTTGAATCTGCAAGTGGACATTTGGATAGATTTGAAGATTTCTTTGGAAACGGGAATATCTTCATATCAAATCTAGACAGAAGCATTCTCAGAGACGTCTTTGTGATGTTTGCATTCAACTCATAGAGTTGAACATTCCGTTTCAGAGAGCAGCTTTGAGGCACTCTTTTTGTAGTATGTGCAAGTGGATATTTGGAGCGCTCTGAGGCCTACGGTGAAAAAGCAAATATCTTCCCATAACCACTAGACAGAAACATTCTCAGAAACTCCTTTATGACGTATGCACTCACCTAACAGAGAAGAACCTTCCTTTTGACAGAGCACTTTTGATACACTCTTTTTGTAGAATCTGAAAGTGGATATTTGGATAGCTGTGAAGATTTCGTTGGAAACGGGAATATCTTCCTATAAAATACTAGACAGAAGCATTCTCAGAAACTGCTCTGTGATGTCTGCATTCAAGTCACAGAGTTGAACATTGCCTTTCATACAGCAGGTTTGAAACGCTCTTTTTGTAGTATATGGAAGTGGACGTTTCGGACGGTTTGAGGCCCATGGTGATAAAGGGAATATCTTCCCCTACAAGCTAGAAAGAAGCATTCTGTGAAACTTGTTTGTGATGTGTGTACTCAACTAACAGAGTTGAACCTTTCTTTTTAGAGAGCAGTTTTGAAACACTCTTTTTGTAGAATCTGCGAGGGGATATTTGGATACATTTCAGGATTTCGTTGGAAACGGGAATATCTTCATATAAAATCTCGACAGAAGCATTCTCAGAAACTTCTTTGTGATATGTGCATTCAAGTCACAGAGTTGAATATTCCCTTTCACAGAGTAGGTTTGAAACACTCTTTTTGTAGTATCTGGAAGTGGACATTTGGAGCGCCTTGACGCCTACGGTGAAAAGGGAAGTATCTTCCCATCAAAACTAGACAGAAGAAATCTCAGAATCATCTTTGGGATATATGCACGCAGCTAACAGAGTTGAACCTTTCTATTGACAGAGCAGATTAGAAACAGTCTTTCTGTGGAATCTGCAAGTGGATATTTGGATAGCTTGGAGGATTTCGTTGGAAACGGGATTACGTATAAAAAGTAGACAGCAGCATCCTCAGAAAGTTCTTTGTGATGTGTGCATTCAAGTCACAGAGTTGAACATTCCCTTTCGTACAGCAGTTTTGAAACACTCTTTCTGTAGTATCTGGAAGTGAACATTTGGACAGCTTTCAGCTCTATGGTGAGAAAGGAAATATCTTCAAATAAAAACTAGACAGAAGCATTCTCATAAACTTGTTTGTGGTGTGTGAACTCAGCTAACAGAGGTGGATCTTTCTTTTGATAGAGCAGTTCTGAAAAACACTTTTTGTTGAATCTGCAAGTGGACATTTGGATAGATTTGAAGATTTCGTTGGAAACGGGAATATCTTCATATCAAATCTAGACAGAAGCATTGTCAGAAACGTCTTTGTGATGTTTGCATTCAACTCATAGAGTTGAACATTCCCTTTCAGAGAGCAGATTTGAAGCACTCTTTTTGTAGTATGTGCAAGTGGATATTTGGAGCGCTCTGAGGCCTTCGGTGAAAAAGCAAATATCTTCCCATAACCACTAGACAGAAACATTCTCAGAAACCCCTTTATGACGTATGTACTCAAATAACAGAGAAGGACCTTCCTTTTGACAGAGCAGTTTTGATACACTCTTTTTGTAGAATCTGCAAGAGGATATTTGGATAGCTGTGAAGATTTCGTTGGAAACGGGAATACCTTCCTATAAAATCTAGACAGAAGCATTCTCAGAAACTGCTCTGTGATGTCTGCATTCAAGTCACAGAGTTGAACATTGCCTTTCATAGAGCAGGTTTGAAACGCTCTTTTTGTAGTATATGGAAGTGGATGTTTCGGACGGTTGGAGGCCCATGGTGATAAAGGGAATATCTTCCCCTAAAAGCTAGAAAGAAGCATTCTGTGAAACTTGTTTGTGATGTGTGTACTCAACTAACAGAGTTGAACCTTTCTTTTTACAGAGCAGTTTTGAAACTCTCTTTTTGTAGAATCTGCGAGGGGATATTTGTATAGATTTCAGGATTTCGTTGGAAACGGGAATATCTTCATATAAAATCTCGACAGAAGCATTATCAGAAACTTCTTTGTGATATGTGCATTCAAGTCACAGAGTTGAATATTCCCTTTCACAGAGTAGGTTTGAAACACTCTTTTTGTAGTATCTGGAAGTGGACATTTGGAGCGCCTTGACGCCTACGGTGAAAAGGGAAATATCTTCCCATAAAAACTAGACAGAAGCAATCTCAGAATCTTCTTTGGGATATATGCACGCAGCTAACAGAGTTGAACCTTTCTATTGACAGAGCAGTTTTGAAACAGTCTTTCTGTGGAATCTGCAAGTGGATATTTGGATAGCTTGGAGGATTTCGTTGGAAACGGGATTACGTATAAAAAGTAGACAGCACGCATCCTCAGAAACTTCTTTGTGATGTGTGCATTCAAGTCACAGTAGTTGAACATTCCCTTTCGTACAGCAGTTTTGAAACACTCTTTCTGTAGTATCTGGAAGTGAACATTAGGACAGCTTTCAGGTCTATGGTGAGAAAGGAAATATCTTCAAATAAAAACTAGACAGAAGCATTCTCATAAACTTGTTTGTGATGTGTGAACTCAGCTAACAGAGGTGGATCTTTCTTTTGATAGAGCAGTTCTGAAAAACACTTTTTGTTGAATCTGCAAGTGGACATTTGGATAGATTTGAAGATGTCGTTGGAAACGGGAATATCTTCATATCAAGTCTAGACAGAAGCATTCTCAGAAACGTCTTTGTGATGTTTGCATTCAACTCATAGATTTGAACATTCCGTTTCAGAGAGCAGCTTTGAGGCACACTTTTTGTAGTATGTGCAAGTGGATATTTGGAGCGCTCTGAGGCCTACGGTGAAAAAGCAAATATCTTCCCATAACCACTAGACAGAAACATTCTCAGAAACTCCTTTATGACTGTATGCACTCACCTAACAGAGAAGAACCTTCCTTTTGACAGAGCAGTTTTGATACACTCTTTTTGTAGAATCTGCAAGTGGATATTGGGATAGCTGTGAAGATTTCGTTGGAAACGGGAATATCTTCCTATAAAATCTAGACAGAAGCATTCTGTGAAACTTGTTTGTGATGTGTGTACTCAACTAACAGAGTTGAACCTTTCTTTTTACAGAGCAGTTTTGAAACACTCTTTTTGTAGAATCTGCGAGGGGATATTTGGATAGATTTCAGGATTTCGTTGGAAACCGGAATATCTTCATATAAAATCTCGACAGAAGCATTCTCAGAAACTTCTTTGTGATATCTGCATTCAAGTCACAGAGTTGAATATTCCCTTTCACAGAGCAGTTTTGAAACACTCTTTTTGTAGAATCTGCGAGGGGATATTTGGATAGATTTCAGGATTTCGTTGGAAACGGGAATAACTTCATATAAAATCTCGACAGAAGCATTCTCAGAAACTTCTTTGTGATATGTGCATTCAAGTCACAGAGTTGAATATTCCCTTTCACAGAGTAGGTTTGAAACACTCTTTTTGTAGTATCTGGAAGTGGACATTTGGAGCTCCTTGACACCTACGGTGGAAAGGGAAATATCTTCCCATAAAAACTAGACAGAAGCAATCTCAGAATCTTCTTTGGGATATATGCACGCAGCTAACAGAGTTGAACCTTTCTATTGACAGAGCAGTTTTGAAACAGTCTTTCTGTGGAATCTGCAAGTGGATATTTGGATAGCTTGGAGGATTTCGTTGGAAACCGGATTACGTATAAAAAGTAGACAGCAGCATCCTCAGAAAATTCTTTGTGATGTGTGCATTCAAGTCACAGAGTTGAACATTCCCTTTCGTACAGCAGTTTTGAAACACTCTTTCTGTAGTATCTGGAAGTGAACATTAGGACAGCTTTCAGCTCTATGGTGAGAAACAAAATATCTTCAAATAAAAACTAGACAGAAGCATTCTCATAAACTTGTTTGTGATGTGTGAACTCAGCTAACAGAGGTGGATCTTTCTTTTGATAGAGCAGTTCTGAAAAACACTTTTTGTTGAATCTGCAAGTGGACATTTGGATAGATTTGAAGATTTCGTTGGAAACGGCAATATCTTCATATCAAATCTAGACAGAAGTATTCTCAGAAACGTCTTTGTGATGTTTGCATTCAACTCATAGAGTTGAACATTCCGTTTCAGAGAGCAGCTTTGAGGCACTCTTTTTGTAGTATGTGCAAGTGGATATTTGGAGCGCTCTGAGGCCTACGGTGAAAAAGCAAATATCTTCCCATAACCACTAGACAGAAACATTCTCAGAAACTCCTTTATAACGTATGCACTCACCTAACAGAGAAGAACCTTCCTTTTGACAGAGCAGTTTTCATACACTCTTTTTGTAGAATCTGCAAGTGGATATTTGGATAGCTGTGAAGATTTCGTTGGAAACGGGAATATCTTCCTATAAAATCTAGACAGAAGCATTCTCAGAATCTGCTCTGTGATGTCTGCATTCAAGTCACAGAGTTGAACATTGTCTTTCATAGAGCAGGTTTGAAGCGTTCTTTTTGTAGTATATGGAAGCGGACGTTTCGGACGGTTTGAGGCCCATGGTGATAAAGGGAATATCTTCCCCTACAAGCTAGAAAGAAGCATTCTGTGAAACTTGTTTGTGATGTGTGTACTCAACTAACAGAGTTGAACCTTTCTTTTTACAGAACAGTTTTGAAACACTCTTTTTTTAGAATCTGCGAGGGGATATTTGGATAGATTTCAGGATTTCGTTGGAAACGGGAATATCTTCCTATAAAATCTCGACAGAAGCATTCTCAGAAACTTCTTTGTGATATGTGCATTCAAGTCACAGAGTTGAATATTCCCTTTCACAGAGTAGGTTTGAAACAATCTTTTTGTAGTATCTGGAAGTGGACATTTGGAGCGCCTTGACACCTACGGTGAAAAGCGAAATATCTTCCCACAAAAATTAGACAGAAGCAATCTCAGAATCTTCTTTGGGATATATGCACACAGCTAACAGAGTTGAACCTTTCTATTGACAGAGCAGTTTTGAAACAGTCTTTCTGTGGAATCTGCAAGTGGATATTTGGATAGCTTGGAGGATTTCGTTGGAAACGGGATTACGTATCAAAAGTAGACAGCAGCATCCTCAGAAACTTCTTTGTGATGTGTGCATTCAAGTCACAGAGTTGAACATTCCCTTTCGTACAACAGTTTTGAAACACTCTTTCTGTAGTATCTGGAAGTGAACATTAGGACAGCTTTCAGCTCTATGGTGAGAAAGGAAATATCTTCAAATAAAAACTAGACAGAAGCATTCTGATAAACTTGTTCGTGAAGTGTGAACTCAGCTAACAGAGGTGGATCTTTCTTTTGATAGAGCAGTTCTGAAAAACACTTTTTGTTGAATCTGCAAGTGGACATTTGGATAGATTTGAAGATTTCGTTGGAAACGGGAATATCTTCATATCAAATCTAGACAGAAGCATTCTCAGAAACGTCTTTGTGATGTTTGCATTCAACTCATAGAGTAGAACATTCCGTTTCAGAGAGCAGCTTTGAGGCACTCTTTTTGTAGTATGTGCAAGTGGATATTTGGAGCGCTCTGAGGTCTACGGTGAAAAAGCAAATATCTTCCCATAACCACTAGACAGAAGCATTCTCAGAAAATCCTTTATGACGTATGCACTCACCTAACAGAAAAGAACCTTCCTTTTGACAGAGCAGTTTTGATACACTCTTTTTGTAGAATCTGCAAGTGGATATTTGGATAGCTGTGAAGATTTCGTTGGAAACGGGAGTATCTTCCTATAAAATTTAGACAGAAGCATTCTCAGAAACTGCTCTGTGATGTCTGCATTCAAGTCACAGAGTTGAACATTGCCTTTCCTAGAGCAGGTTTGAAACGCTCTTTTTGTAGTATATGAAAGTGGACGTTTCGGACGGTTTGAGGACCATGGTGATAATGAGAATATCTTCCCCTACAAGCTAGAAAGAAGCATTCTGTGAATCTTGTTTGTGATGTGTGTACTCAACTAACAGAGTTGAACCTTTCTTTTTACAGAGCAGTTTTGAAACACTCTTTTTGTAGAATCTGCGAGGGGATATTTGGATAGATTTCAGGATTTCGTTGGAAACCGGAATATCTTCATATAAAATCTCGACAGAAGCATCCTCAGAAACTTCTTTGTGATATGTGCATTCAAGTCACAGAGTTGAATATTCCCTTTCACAGAGTAGGTTTGAAACACTCTTTTTGTAGTATCTGGAAGTGGACATTTGGAGCGCCTTGACGCCTACGGTGAAAAGGGAAATATCTTCCCATAAAAACTAGACAGAAGCAATCTCAGAATCTTCTTTGGGATATATGCACGCAGCTAACAGAGTTGAACCTTTCTATTGACAGAGCAGTTTTGAAACAGTCTTTCTGTGGAATCTGCAAGTGGATATTTGGATAGCTAGGAGGATTTCTTTGGAAACGGGATTACGTATAAAAAGTAGACAGCAGCATCCTCAGAAACTTCTTTGTGATGTGTGCATTCAAGTCACAGAGTTGAACATTCCTTTTCGTACAGCAGTTTTGAAACACTCTTTCTGTAGTATCTGGAAGTGAACATTATGACAGCTTTCAGGTCTATGGTGAGAAAGGAAATATCTTCAAATAAAAACAAGACAGAAGCATTCTCATAAACTTGTTTGTGATGTCTGAACTCAGCTAACAGACGTGGATCTTTCTTTTGATACAGCAGTTTTGAAAAACACTTTTTGTTGAATCTGCAAGTGGACATTTGGATAGATTTGAAGATTTCGTTGGAAACGGGAATATCTTCATATCAAATCTAGACAGAAGCATTCTCAGAAACGTCTTTGTGATGTTTGCATTCAACTCATAGAGTTGAACATTCCGTTTCAGAGAGCAGCTTTGAAGCACTCTTTTTGTAGTATATGCAAGTGGATATTTGGAGCGCTCTGAGGCCTACGGTGAAAAAGCAAATATCTTCCCATAATCACTAGACAGAAACATTCTCAGAAACTCCTTTATGACGTATGTACTCACCTAACAGAGAAGAACCTTCCTTTTGACAGAGCAGTTTTGATACACTCTTTTTGTAGAATCTGCAAGTGGATATTTGGATAGCTGTGAAGATTTCGTTGGAAACGGGAATATCTTCCTATAAAATCTAGACAGAAGCATTCTCAGAAACTGCTCTGTGATGTCTGCATTCAAGTCACAGAGTTGAACACTGCCTTTCCTAGAGCAGGTTTGAAACGCTCTTTTTGTAGTATATGGAAGTGGACGTTTCGTACGGTTTGAGGCCCATGGTGATAAAGGGAATATCTTCCCCTACAAGCTAGAAAGAAGCATTCTGTGAAACTTGTTTGTGATGTGTGTACTCAACTAACAGAGTTGAACCTTTCTTTTTACAGAGCAGTTTTGAAACACTCTTTTTGTAGAATCTGCGAGGGGATATTTGGATACATTTCAGGATTTCGTTGGAAACGGGAATATCTTCATATAAAATCTTGACAGAAGCATTCTCAGAAACTTCCTTGTGATATGTGCATTCAAGTCACAGAGTTGAATATTCCCTTTCACAGTAGTAGGTTTGAAACACTCTTTTTGTAGTATCTGGAAGTGGACATTTGGAGCGCCTTGACGCCTACGGTGAAAAGGGAAATATCTTCCCATAAAAACTAGACAGAAGCAATCTCAGAATCTTCTTTGGGATATATGTACGCAGCTAATAGAGTTGAACCTTTATATTGACAGAGCAGTTTTGAAACAGTCTTTCTGTGGAATCTGCAAGTGGATATTTGGATAGCTTGGAGGATTTCGTTGGAAACGGGATTACGTATAAAAAGTAGACAGCAGCATCCTCAGAAACTTCTTTGTGATGGGTGCATTCAAGTCACAGAGTTGAACATTCCCTTTCGTACAGCAGTTTTGAAACACTCTTTCTGTAGTATCTGGAAGTGAACATTAGGACAGCTTTCAGGTCTATGGTGAGAAAGGAAATATCTTCAAATAAAAACTAGACAGAAGCATTCTCATAAACTTGTTTGTGATGTGTGAACTCAGCTAACAGAGGTGGATCTTTCTTTTGATAGAGCAGTTCTGAAAAACACTTTTTGTTGAATCTGCAAGTGGACATTTGGATAGATTTGAAGATTTCGTTGGAAACGGGAATATCTTCATATCAAGTCTAGACAGAAGCATTCTCAGAAACGTCTTTGCGTTGTTTGCATTCAACTCATAGAGTTGAACATTCCGTTTCAGAAAGCAGATTTGAGGCACTCTTTTTGTAGTATGTGCAAGTGGATATTTGGAGCGCTCTGAGGCCTACGGTGAAAAAGCAAATATCTTTCCATAACCACTAGACAGAAACATTCTCAGAAACTTCTTTATGACGTATGTACTCAACTAGCAGAGAAGAACTTTCCTTTTGACAGAGCATTTTTGATACACTCTTTTTGTACTATCTGCAAGTGGATATTTGGATAGCTGTGAAGATTTCGTTGGAAACGGGAATATCTTCCTATAAAGTCTGGACAGAAGCATTCTCAGAAACTGCTCTGTGATGTCTGCATTCAAGTCACAGAGTTGATCATTGCCTTTCATAGAGCAGGTTTGAAACGCTCTTTTTGTAGTATATGGAAGTGGACGTTTCAGACGGTTTGAGGCCCATGGTGATAAAGGGAATATCTTCCCCTACAAGCTAGAAAGAAGCATTCTGTGAAACTTGTTTGTGAGGTGTGTACTCAACTAACAGAGTTGAACCTTTCTTTTTACAGAGCAGTTTTGAAACACTCTTTTTGTAGAATCTGCGAGGGCATATTTGGATAGATTTCAGAATTTCGTTGGAAAGGGGAATATCTTCATATAAAATCTCGACAGAAGCATTCTCAGAAACTTCTTTGTGATATGTGCATTCAAGTCACAGAGTTGAATATTCCCTTTCACAGAGTAGGTTTGAAACACTCTTTTTGTAGTATCTGGAAGTGGACATTTGGAGCGCCTTGATGCCTACGGTGAAAAGGGAAATATCTTCCCATAAAAATTCGACAGAAGGAATCTCAGAATCTTCTTTGGGATATATGCACGCAACTAACAGAGTTGAACCTTTCTATTGACAGAGCAGTTTTGAAACAGTCTTTCTGTGGAATCTGCAAGTGGATATTTGGATAGCTTGGAGGATTTCGTTGGAAACGGGATTACGTATAAAAAGTAGACAGCAGCATCCTCAGAAACTTCTTTGTGATGTGTGCATTCAAGTCACAGAGTTGAACATTCCTTTTCGTACAGCAGTTTTGAAACACTCTTTCTGTAGTATCTGGAAGTGAACATTAGGACAGCTTTCAGCTCTATGGTGAGAAAGGAAATATCTTCAAATAAAAACTAGACAGAAGCATTCTCATAAACTTGTTTGTGATGTGTCAACTCAGCTAACAGAGGTGGATCTTTCTTTTGATAGAGCAGTTCTGAAAAACACTTTTTGTTGAATCTGCAAGTGGAGATTTGGATAGATTTGAAGATTTCGTTGGAAACGGGAATATCTTCATATCAAATCTAGACAGAAGCATTCTCAGAAACGTCTTTGCGATGTTTGCATTCAACTCATAGAGTTGAACATTCCCTTTCAGAGAGCAGCTTTGAGGCACTCTTTTTGTAGTATGTGCAAGTGGATATTTGGAGCGCCCTGAGGCCTACGGGGAAAAAGCAAATATCTTCCCATAACCACTAGACAGAAACATTCTCAGAAACTGCTTTATGACGTATGCACTCACCTAACAGAGAAGAACCTTCCTTTTGACAGAGCAGTTTTGATACACTCTTTTTGTAGAATCAGCAAGTGGATATTTGGATAGCTGTGAAGATTTCGTTGGAAACGGGAATATCTTCCTATAAAATCTAGACAGAAGCATTCTCAGAAACTGCCCTGTGATGTCTGCATTCAAGTCACAGAGTTGAACATTGCCTTTCATAGAGCAGGTTTGAAACGCTCTTTTTGTAGTATATGGAAGTAGACGTTTCGGACGGTTTGAGGCCCATGGTGATAAAGGGAATATCTTCCCCTACAAGCTAGAAAGAAGCATTCTGTGAAACTTGTTTGTGATGTGTATACTCAACTAACAGAGTTGAACCTTTCTTTTTACAGAGCAGTTTTGAAACACTCTTTTTGTAGAATCTGCGAGGGGATATTTGGATAGATTTCAGGATTTCGTTGGAAACGGGAATATCTTCATTTAAAATCTCGACAGAAGCATTCTCAGAAACTTCTTTGTGATATCTGCCTTCAAGTCACAGAGTTGAATATTCCCTTTCGCAGAGTAGGTTTGAAACACTCTTTTTGTAGTATCTGGAAGTGGACAATTGGAGCTCCTTGACACCTACGGTGAAAAGGGAAATATCTTCCCATAAATACTAGACAGAAGCAATCTCAGAATCTTCTTTGGGATATGTGCACGCAGCTAACAGAGTTGAACCTTTCTATTGACAGAGCAGTTTTGAAACAGTCTTTCTGTGGAATCTGCAAGTGGATATTTTGATAGATTGGAGGATTTCGTTGGAAACGGGATTACGTATAAAAAGTAGACAGCAGCATCCTCAGAAACTTCTTTGTGATGTGCGCATTCAAGTCACAGAGTTGAATATTCCCTTTCGTACAGCATTTTTGAAACACTCTTTCTGTAGTATCTGGAAGTGAACATTAGGACAGCTTTCAGGTCTATGGTGAGAAAGGAAATATCTTCAAATAAAAACTAGACAGAAGCATTCTCATAAACATGTTTGCGATGTCTGAACTCAGCTAACAGAGGTGGATCTTTCTTTTGATAGAGCAGTTCTGAAAAACACTTTTCGTTGAATCTGCAAGTGGACATTTGGATAGATTTGAAGATTTCGTTGGAAACGGGAATATCTTCATATCAAATCTAGACAGAAAGCATTCTCGGAAACGTCTTTGTGATGTTTGCATTCAACTCATAGTATTTGAACATTCCGTTTCAGAGAGCAGCTTTGAGGCACTCATTTTGTAGTATGTGCAAGTGGATATTGGGAGCGCTCTGAGGCCTTCGGTGAAAAAGCAAATATCTTCCCATAACCACTAGACAGAAACATTCTCAGAAACTCGTTTATGACGTATGCACTCACCTAACAGAGAAGAACCTTCCATTTGACAGAGCAGTTTTGATGCACTCTTTTTGTAGAATCTGCAAGTGGATATTTGGATAGCTGTGAAGATTTTGCTGGAAACGGGAATATCTTCCTATAAAATCTAGACAGAAGCATTCTCAGAAACTGCTCTGTGATGTCTGCATTCAAGTCACAGAGTTGAACATTGCCTTTCATGGAGCAGGTTTGAAACGCTCTTTTTGTAGTATATGGAAGTGGACGATTCGGATGGTTTGAGGCCCATGGTGATAAAGGGAATATCTTCCCCTACGAGCTAGAAAGAAGCATTCTGTGAAACTTGTTTGTGATGTGTGTACTCAACTAACAGAGTTGAACCTTTCTTTTTACAGAGCAGTTTTGAAACACTCTTTTTGTAGAATCTGCGAGGGGAAGTTTGGATAGATTTCAGGATTTAGTTGGAAACGGGAATATCTTCATATAAAATCTCGACAGAAGCATTCTCATAAGCTTCTTTGTGATATGTGCATTCAAGTCACAGAGTTGAATATTCCCTTTCACAGAGTAGGTTTGAAACACTCTTTTTGTAGTATCTGAAGTGGACATTTGGAGCGCCTTGACGCCTACGGTGAAAAGGGAAATACCTTCTCATAAAAAGTAGACAGAAGCAATCTCAGAATCTTCTTTGGGATATATGCACGCAGCTAACAGAGTTGAACCTTTCTATTGACAGAGCAGTTTTGAAACAGTCTTTCTGTGGAATCTGCAAGTGGATATTTGGATAGCTTGGAGGATTTCGTTGGAAACGGGATTACGTATAAAATGTAGAAAGCCGCATCCTCAGAAACTTCTTTGTGATGTGTGCATTCAAGTCACAGAGTTGAATATTCCCTTTCGTACAGCAGTTTTGAAACACTCTTTCTGTAGTATCTGGAAGTGAACATTAGGACAGCTTTCAGGTCTATGGTGAGAAAGGAAATATCTTCAAATAAAAACTAGACAGAAGCAGTCTGATAAACTTGTTTGTGAAGTGTGAACTCAGCTAACAGAGGTGGATCTTTCTTTTGATACAGCAGTTTTGAAAAACACTTTGTTGAATCTGCAAGTGGACATTTGTATAGATTTGAAAATTTCGTTGGAAACGGGAATATCTTCATATCAAATCTAGACAGAAGCATTCTCAGAAACGTCTTTGTGATGTTTGCATTCAACTCATAGAGTTGAACATTCCGTTTCAGAGAGCAGCTTTGAAGCACTCTTTTTGTAGTATGTGCAAGTGGACATTTGGAGCGCTTTGAGGCCTACGGTGAAAAAGCAAATATGCTTCCCATAACCACTAGACAGAAACATTCTCAGAAACTCCTGTATGACGTATGCACTCACCTAACAGAGAAGAACCTTCCTTTTGACAGAGCAGTTTTGATACACTCTTTTTGTAGAATCTGCAAGTGGATATTTGGATAGCTGTGAAGGTTTCGTTGGAAACGGGAATATCTTCCTATAAAATCTAGACAGAAGCATTCTCAGAAACTGCTGCTGTGATGTCTGCATTCAAGTCACAGAGTTGAACATTGCCTTTCATAGAGCAGGTTTGAAACGCTCTTTTTGTAGTATATGGAAGTAGACGTTTCGGACGGTTTGAGGCCCATGGTGATAAAGGGAATATCTTCCCCTACAAGCTAGAAAGAAGCATTCTGTGAAACTTGTTTGTGATGTGTGTACTCAACTAACAGAGTTGAACCTTCCTTTTTACAGAGCAGTTTTGAAACACTCTTTTTGTAGAATCTGCGAGGGGATATTTGGATAGATTTCAGGATTTCGTTGGGAACGGGAATATCTTCATATAAAATCTCGACAGAAGCATTCTCAGAAACTTCTTTGTGATATGTGCATTCAAGTCACAGAGTTGAATATTCCCTTTCACAGAGTAGGTTTGAAACACTCTTTTTGTAGTATCTGGAAGTGGACATTTGGAGCGCCTTGACGCCTACGGTGAAAAGGGAAATATCTTCCCATAAAAACGAGACAGAAGCAATCTCAGAATCTTCTTTGGGATATATGCACGCAGCTAACAGTGTTGAACCTTTCTATTGACAGAGCAGTTTTGAAACAGTCTTTCTGTGGAATCTGCAAGTGGATATTTGGATAGCTTGGAGGATTTCGTTGGAAACGGGATTACGTATAAAAAGTAGACAGCAGCATCCTCAGAAACTTCTTTGTGATGTGTGCATTCAAGTCACAGAGTTGAACATTCCCTTTCGTACACCAGTTTTGAAAGACTCTTTCTGTAGCATCTGGAAGTGAACATTAGGACAGCTTTCAGGTCTATGGTGAGAAAGGAAATATCTTCAAATAAAAACTAGACAGAAGCATTCTCATAAACTTGTTTGTGATGTGTGAACTCAGCTAACAGAGGTGGATCTTTCTTTTGATAGAGCAGTTCTGAAAAACACTTTTTGTTGAATCTGCAAGGGGACATTTGGATAGATTTGAAGATTTCGTTGGAAACGGGAATATCTTCATATCAAATGTAGACAGAAGCATTCTCGGAAACGTCTTTGTGATGTTTGCATTCAACTCATAAAGTTGAACATTCCGTTTCAGAGAGCAGCTTTGAGGCACTCTTTTTGTAGTATGTGCAAGTGGATATTTGGAGCGCTCTGAGGCCTTCTGTGAAAAAGCAAATATCTTCCCATAACCACTAGACAGAAAACATTCTCAGAAACTCCTTTATGACGTATGCACTCACCTAACAGAGAAGAACCTTCCTTTTGACAGAGCAGTTTTGATACACTCTTTTTGTAGAATCTGCAAGAGGATATTGGGATAGCTGTGAAGATTTCGTTGGAAACGGGAATATCTTCCTATAAAATCTAGACAGAAGCATTCTCAGAAACTGCTCTGTGATGTCTGCATTCAAGTCACAGAGTTGAACATTGCCTTTCATAGAGCAGGTTTGAAACGCTCTTTTTGTAGTATATGGAAGTGGACGTTTCGGACGGTTTGAGGCCCATGGTGATAAAGGGAATATCTTGCCCTACAAGCTAGAAAGACAAGCATTCTGTGAAACTTGTTTGTGATGTGTGTACTCAACTAACAGAGTTGAACCTTTCTTTTTACAGAGCAGTTTTGAAACACTCTTTTTGTAGAATCTGCGAGGGGATATTTGGATAGATTTCAGGATTTCGTTGGAAAGGGGATTATCTTCATATAAAATCTCGACAGAAGCATTCTCAGAAACTTCTTTGTGATATCTGCATTCAAGTCACAGAGTTGAATATTCCCTTTCACAGAGTCGGTTTGAAACACTCTTTTTGTAGTATCTGGAAGTGGACATTTGGAGCGCCTTGACGCCTACAGTGAAAAGGGAAATATCTTCCCATAAAAACTAGACAGAAGAAATCTCAGAATCATCTTTGGGATATATGCACGCAGCTAACAGAGTTGAACCTTTCTATTGACAGAGCAGTTTTGAAACAGTCTTTCTGTGGAATCTGCAAGTGGATATTTGGATAGCTTGGAGGATTTCGTTGGAAACGGGATTACGTATAAAAAGTAGACAGCAGCATCCTCAGAATCTTCTTTGTGATGTGTGCATTCAAGTCAAAGAGTTGAACATTCCCTTTCGTACAGCAGTTTTGAAACACTCTTTCTGTAGTATCTGGAAGTGAACATTAGGACAGCTTTCAGGTCTATGGTGAGAAAGGAAATATCTTCAAATAAAAACTAGACAGAAAGCATTCTCAAGAACTTGTTTGTTATGTGTGAACTCAGCTAACAGAGGTGGATGTTTCTTTTGATAGAGCAGTTCTGAAAAACACGTTTTGTTGAATCTGCAAGTGGACATTTGGATAGATTTGAAGATGTCGTTGGAAACGGGAATATCTTCATATCAAATCTAGACAGAAGCATTCTCAGAAACGTCTTTGTGATGTTGGCATTCAACTCATAGAGTTGAACATTCCGTTTCAGAGAGCAGCTTTGAGGCACTCTTTTTGTAGTATGTGCAAGTGGATATTTTGAGCGCTCTGAGGCCTACGGTGAAAAAGCAAATATCTTCCCATAACCACTAGACAGAAACATTCTCAGAAACTCCTTTATGACGTATGTACTCAACTAACAGAGAAGAACCTTCTTTTTGACAGAGCATTTTTGATACACTCTTTTTGTAGAATCTCCAAGTGGATATTTGGATAGCTGTGAAGATTTCGTTGGAAACGGGAATATCTTCCTATAAAATCTAGACAGAAGCATTCTCAGAAACTGCTCTGTGATGTCTGCATTCAAGTCACAGAGTTGAACATTGCCTTTCATAGAGCAGGTTTGAAACGCTCTTTTTTTAGTATATGGAAGTTGACGTTTCGGACGGTTTGAGGCCCATGGTGATAAAGGGAATATCTTCCCCTACAAGCTAGAAAGAAGCATTCTGTGAAACTTGTTTGTGATGTGTGTACTCAACTAACAGAGTTGAACCTTTCTTTCTACAGAGCAGTTTTGAAACACTCTTTTTGTAGAATCTGCGAGGGGATATTTGGATAGATTTCAGGATTTCGTTGGAAAGGGGAATATCTTCATATAAAATCTCGACAGAAGCATTCTCAGAAACTTCTTTGTGATATGTGCATTCAAGTCACAGAGTTGAATATTCCCTTTCACAGAGTAGGTTTGAAACACTCTTTTTGTAGTATCTGGAAGTGGACATTTGGAGCGCCTTGACGCTTACGGTGAAAAGGGAAATATCTTCCCATAAAAACTAGACAGAAGCAATCTCAGAATCTTCTTTGGGATATATGCACGGAGCTAACAGAGTTGAACCTTTCTATTGACAGAGCAGTTTTGAAACAGTCTTTCTGTGGAATCTGCAAGTGGATATTTGGATAGCTTGGAGGATTTCGTTGGAAACGGGATTACGTATAAAAAGTAGACAGCAGCATCCTCCGAAACTTCTTTGTGATGTGTGCATTCAAGTCACAGAGTTGAACATTCCCTTTCGTACAGCAGTTTGGAAACACTCTTTCTGTAGTATCTGGAAGTGAACATTAGGACAGCTTTCAGCTCTATGGTGAGAAAGGAAATATCTTCAAATAAAAACTAGACAGAAGCATTCTCATAAACTTGTTCGTAATGTGTGAACTCAGCTAACACACGTGGATCTTTCTTTTGATAGAGCAGTTCTGAAAAACACTTTTTGTTGAATCTGCAAGTGCACATTTGGATAGATTTGAAGATTTCGTTGGAAACGGGAATATCTTCATATCAAATCTAGACAGAAGCATTCTCAGAAACGTCTTTGCGATGTTTGCATTCAACTCATAGATTTGAACATTCCGTTTCAGAGAGCAGCTGTGAGGCACTCTTTTTGTAGTATGTGCAAGTGGATATTTGGAGCGCTCTGAGGCCTACGGTGAAAAAGCAAATATCTTCCCATAACCACTAGACAGAAGCATTCTCAGAAACTCCTTTATGAAGTATGTACTCAACTAACAGAGAAGAACCTTCCTTTTGACAGAGCAGTTTTGATACACTCTTTTTGTAGAATCTGCAAGTGGATATTTGGATAGCTATGAAGATTTCGTTGGAAACGGGAATATCTTCCTATAAAATCTAGACAGAAGCATTCTCAGAAACTGCTCTGTGATGTCTGCATTCAAGTCACAGAGTTGAACATTGCCTTTCATAGAGCAGGTTTGAAACGCTCTTTTTGTATTATATGGAAGTGGACTTATCGGACGGTTTGAGGCCCATGGTGATAAAGGGAATATCTTCCCCTACAAGCTAGAAAGAAGCATTCTATGAAACTTGTTTGTGATGTGTGTACTCAACTAACAGAGTTGAACCTTTCTTTTTACAGAGCAGCTTTGAAACACTCTTTTTGTAGAATCTGCGAGGGGATATTTGGATAGATTTCAGGATTTCGTTGGAAACGGGAATATCTTCATATAAAATCTCGACAGAAGCATTCTCAGAAACTTCTTTGTGATATGTGCATTCAAGTCACAGAGTTGAATATTCGCTTTCACAGAGGAGGTTTGAAACACTCTTTTTGTAGTATCTGGAAGTGGACATTTGGAGCGCCTTGACGCCTACGGTGAAAAGGGAAATATCTTCCCATAAAAACTAGACAGAAGCAATCTCAGAATCTTCTTTGGGATATATGCACGCAGCTAACAGAGTTGAACCTTTCTATTGACAGAGCAGTTTTGAAACAGTCTTTCTGTGGAATCTGCAAGTGGATATTTGGATAACTTGGAGGATTTCGTTGGAAACGGGATTAAGTATAAAAAGTAGACAGCAGCATCCTCAGAAACTTCTTTGAGATGTGTGCATTCAAGTCACAGAGTTGAACATTCCCTTTCGTACAGCAGTTTTGAAACACTCTTTCTGTAGTAACTGGAAGTGAACATTAGGACAGCTTTCAGGTCTATGGTGAGAAAGGAAATATCTTCAAATAAAAACTAGACAGAAGCTTTCTGATAAACTTGTTTGTGAAGTGTGAACTCAGCTAACAGAGGTGGATCTTTCTTTTGATACAGCAGTTTTGAAAAACACTTTGTTGAATCTGCAAGTGGACATTTGGATAGATTTGATGATTTCGTTGGAAACGGGAATATCTTCATATCAAATCTAGACAGAAGCATTCTCAGAAACGTCTTTGTGATGTTTGCATTCAACTCATAGAGTTGAACATTCCGTTTCAGAGAGGAGGTTTGAAGCACTCTTTTTGTAGTATGTGCAAGTGGATATTTGGAGCGCTCTGAGGCCTACGGTGAAAAAGCAAATATCTTCCCATAACCACTAGACAGAAACATTCTCAGAAACTCCTTTATGACGTATGCACTCACCTAACAGAAAAGAACCTTCCTTTTGACAGAGCAGTTTTGATACACTCTTTTTGTGGAATCTGCAAGTGGATATTTGGATAGCTGTGAAGATTTCGTTGGAAACGGGAATATCTTCCTATAAAATCTAGACAGAAGCATTCTGTGAAACTTGTTTGTGATGTGTGTACTCAACTAACAGAGTTGAACCTTTCTTTTTACAGAGCAGTTTTGAAACACTCTTTTTGTAGAATCTGCGAGGGGATATTTGGATACATTTCAGCATTTCGTTGGAAACGGGAATATCTTCATATAAAATGCTCGACAGAAGCATTCTCAGAAACTTCTTTTTGATATGTGCATTCAAGTCACAGAGTTGAATATTCCCTTTCACAGAGTAGGTTTGAAACACTCTTTTTGTAGTATCTGGAAGTGGACATTTGGAGCGCCTTGACGCCTACGGTGAAAAGGGAAATATATTCCCATAAAAACTAGACAGAAGCAATCTCAGAATCTTCTTTGGGATATATGCACGCAGCTAACAGAGTTGAACCTTTCTATTGACAGAGCAGTTTTGAAAAAGTCTTTCTGTGGAATCTGCAAATGGATATTTGGATAGCTTGGAGGATTTCGTTGGAAACGGGATTACGTATAAAAAGTAGCCAGCAGCATTCTCAGAAACTTCGTTGTGATGTGTGCATTCAAGTCACAGAGTTCAACATTCCCTTTCGTAGAGCAGGTTTGAAACACTCTTTCTCTAGTATCTGGAAGTGAACGTTACGAGAGCTTTCAGGTCTATGGTGAGAAAGAAAATATCTTCAAATAAAAACTAGACAGAAGCATTCTCATAAACTTGTTTGTGATGTGTGAACTCAACTAACAGAGGTGGATCTTTCTTTTCATATAGCAGTTTTGAAAAACACTTTTTGTTGAATCTGCAAGTGGACATTTGGATAGATTTGAAGATTTCGTTGGAAACGGGAATATCTTCATATCAAAACTAGACAGAAGCATTCTCAGAAACGTCTTTGTGATGTTTGCATTCAACTCATAGAGTTGAACATTCCCTTTCAGAGAGCAGCTGTGAAGCACTCTTTTTGTAGTATGTGCAAGTGGATATTTGGAGCGCTACTGAGGCCTACGGTGAAAAAGCAAATATCTTCCCATAACCACTAGACAGAAACATTCTCAGAAACTCCTTTATGATGTATGCACTCACCTAACAGAGAAGAACCTTCCTTTTGACAGAGCAGTTTTGATACACTCTTTTTGTAGAATCTGCAAGTGGATATTTGGATAGCTGTGAAGATTTCGTTGGAAACGGGAATATCTTCCTATAAAATCTAGACAGAAGCATTCTCAGAAACTGCTCTGTGATGTCTGCATTCAAGTCACAGAGTTGAACATTGCCTTTCATAGAGCAGGTTTGAAATGCTCTTTTTGTAGTATATGGAAGTGGACGTTTCACACGGTTTGAGGCCGATGGTGATAAAGGGAATATCTTCCCCTACAAGCTAGAAAGAAGCATTCTGTGAAACTTGTTTGTGATGTGTGTACTCAACTAACAGAGTTGAACCTTTCTTTTTACAGAGCAGTTTTGAAACACTCTTTTTGTAGAATCTGCGAGGGGATATTTGGATAGATTTCAGGATTTCGTTGTAAACGAGAATATCTTCATATAAAATCTCGACAGAAGCATTCTCAGAAACTTCTTTGTGATATGTGCATTCAAGTCACAGAGTTGAATATTCCCTTTCACAGAGTAGGTTTGAAACACTCTTTTTGTAGTATCTGGAAGTGGACATTTGGAGCGCCTTGACGCCTACGGTGAAAAGGGAAATATCTTCCCATACAAACTAGACCGAAGCAATCTCAGAATCTTCTTTGGGATATATGCACGCAGCTAACAGAGTTGAACCTTTCTATTGACAGAGCAGTTTTGAAACAGTCTTTCTGTGGAATCTGCAAGTGGATATTTGGATAGATTCGAGGATTTCGTTGGAAACGGGATTACGTATAAAAAGTAGACAGCAGCATCCTCAGAAACTTCTTTGTGATGTGTGCATTCAAGTCACAGAGTTGAACATTCCCTTTCGTACAGCAGTTTTGAAACACTCTTTCTGTAGTATCTGGAAGTGAACATTAGGACAGCTTTCAGGTCTATGGTGAGAAAGGAAATATCTTCAAATAACAACTAGACAGAAGCATTCTCATCAACTTGTTTGTGATGTGTGAACTCAGCTAACAGAGGTGGATCTTTCTTTTGATAGAGCAGTTCTGAAAAACACGTTTTGTTGAATCTGCAAGTGGACATTTGGATAGATTTGAAGATTTCGTTGGAAACGGGAATATCGTCATATCAAATCTAGACAGAAGCATTCTCAGAAACGTCTTTGTGATGTTTGCATTCAACCCATAGAGTTGAACATTCCGTTTCAGAGAGCAGCTTTGAGGCACTCTTTTTGTAGTATGTGCAAGTGGATATTTGGTGCGCTGTGAGGCCTACGGTGAAAAAGCAAATATCTTCCCAAAACCACTAGACAGAAACATTCTCAGAAACTCCTTTATGACGTATGCACTCACCTAACAGAGAAGAACCTTCCTTTTGACAGACCAGTTTTGATACACTCTTTTTGTAGAATCTGCAAGTGGATATTTGGATAGCTGTGAAGATTTCGTTGGAAACGGGAATATCTTCCTATAAAATCTAGACAGAAGCATTCTCAGAAACTGCTCTGTGATGTCTGCATTCAAGTCACAGAGTTGAACATTGCGTTTCATAGAGCAGGTTTGAAACTCTCTTTTTGTAGTATATGGAAGTGGACGTTTCGGACGGTTTGAGGCCCATGGTGATAAAGGGAATATCTTCCCCTACAAGCTAGAAAGAAGCATTCTGTGAAACTTGTTTGTGATGTGTGTACTCAAGTAACAGAGTTGAACCTTTCTTTTTACAGAGCAGTTTTGAAACGCTCTTTCTGTAGAATCTGCGAGGGGATATTTGGATAGATTTCAGGATTTCGTTGGAAACTGGAATATCTTCATATAAAATCTCGACAGAAGCATTCTCAGAAACTTCTTTGTGATATGTGCATTCAAGTCACAGAGTTGAATATTCCCTTTCACAGAGTAGGTTTGAAACACTCTTTTTGTAGTATCTGGAAGTGGACATTTGGAGCGCCTTGACGCCTACGGTGGAAAGGGAAATATCTTCCCATAAAAACTAGACAGAAGCAATCTCAGAATCTTCTTTGGGATATATGCACGCAGTTAACAGAGTTGAACCTTTCTATTGACAGAGCAGTTTTGAAACAGTCTTTCTGTGGAATCTGCAAATGGATATTTGGATAGCTTGGAGGATTTCGTTGGAAACGGGATTATGTATAAAAAGTAGACAGCAGCATCCTTAGAAACTTCTTTGTGATGTGTGCATTCAAGTCACAGAGTTGAACATTCCCTTTCGTACAGCAGTTTTGAAACACTCTTTCTGTAGTATCTGGAAGTGAACATTAGGACAGCTTTCAGCTCTATGGTGAGAAAGGAAATATCTTCAAATAAAAACTAGACAGAAGCATTCTCATAAACTTGTTTGTGATGTGTGATCTCAACTAACAGAGGTGGGTCTTTCTTTTGATACACCAGTTATGAAAAACCCTTTTAATTGAATCTGCAAGTGGACATTTGGATAGATTTGAAGATTTCGTTGGAAACGGGAATATCTTCATATCAAATCTAGACAGAAGCATTCTCAGAAACGTCTTTGTCATGTTTGCATTCAACTCATAGAGTTGAACATTCCGTTTCAGAGAGCAGCTTTGAAGCACTCTTTTTGTAGTATGTGCAAGTGGATATTTGGAGCACTCTGAGGCCTACGGTGAAAAAGCAAATATCTTCCCATAACCACTAGACAGAAACAATCTCAGAAACTCCTTTATGACGTATGCACTCACCTAACAGAGAAGAACCTTCCTTTTCACAGAGCAGTTTTGATACACTCTTTTTGTAGAATCTGCAAGTGGATATTTGGATAGCTGTGAAGATTTCGTTGGAAACGAGAATATCTTCCTATAAAATCTAGACAGAAGCATGCTCAGAAACTGCTCTGTGATGTCTGCATTCAAGTCACAGAGTTCAACATTGCCTTTCATAGAGCAGGTTTGAAACGCTCTTTTTGTAGTATATGGAAGTGGAAATTTCGAGCCGTTTGAGGCCCATGGTGATAAAGGAAATATCTTCCCCTACAAGCTAGAAAGAAGCATTCTGTGAAACTTGTTTGTGATGTGTGTACTCAACTAACAGAGTTGAACCTTTCTTTTTACAGAGCAGTTTTGAAACACTCTTTTTGTGGAATCTGCGAGGGGATATTTGGATAGATTTCAGGATTTCGTTGGAAACGGGAATATCTTAATATAAAATCTCGACAGAAGCATTCTCAGAAACTTCTTTGTGATATCTGCATTCAAGTCACAGAGTTGAATATTCCCTTTCACAGAGTAGGTTTGAAACACTCTTTGTAGTATCTGGAAGTGGACATTTGGAGCACCTTGACACCTACGGTGAAAAGGGAAATATCTTCCCATAAAAACTAGACAGAAGCAATCTCAGAATCTTCTTTGGGATATATGCACGCAGCTAACCGAGTTGAACCTTTCTATTAACAGAGCATTTTTGAAACAGTCTTTCTGTGGAATCTGCAAGTGGATATTTGGATAGCTTGGAGGATTTCGTTGGAAACGGGATTACGTATAAAAAGTAGACAGCAGCATCCTCAGAAACTTCTTTGTGATGTGTGCATTCAAGTCACAGATTTGAACATTCCCTTTCGTACAGCAGTTTTGAAACACTCTTTCTGTAGTATCTGGAAGTGAACATTAGGACAGCTTTCAGCTCTATGGTGAGAAAGGAAATATCTTCAAATAAAAACTAGACAGAAGCATTCTCATAAACTTGTTTGTGATGTGTGAACGCAGCTAACAGAGGTGGATCTTTCTTTTGATACAGCAGTTTTGAAAAACACTTTTTGTTGAATCTGCAAGTGGACATTTGGATAGATTTGAAGATTTCTTTGGAAACGGGAATATCTTCATATCAAATCTAGACAGAAGCATTCTCAGAAACGTCTTTGTGATGTTTGCATTCAACTCATAGCAGTTGAACATTCCGTTTCAGAGAGCAGCTTTGAAGCACTCTTTTTGTAGTATGTGCAAGTGGATATTTGGAGCGCTCTGAGGCCTACGGTGAAAAAGCAAATATCTTCCCATAACCACTAGACAGAAACATTCTCAGAAACTCCTTTATGACGTATGCACTCACCTAACAGAGAAGAACCTTCCTTTTGACAGAGCAGTTTTGATACACTCTTTTTGTAGAATCTGCAAGTGGATATTGGGATAGCTGTGAAGATATCGTTGGAAACGGGAATATCTTCCTATAAAATCTAGACAGAAGCATTCTCAGAAACTGCTCTGTGATGTCTGCATTCAAGTCACAGAGTTGAACATTGCCTTTCCTAGAGCAGGTTTGAAACGCTCTTTTTGTAGTATATGGAAGTGGACGTTTCGGACGGTTTGAGGACCATGGTGATAAAGGGAATATCTTCCCCTGCAAGCTAGAAAGAAGCATTCTGTGAAACTTGTTTGTGATGTGTGTACTCAACTAACAGAGTTGAACCTTTCTTTTTACAGAGCAGTTTTGAAACACTCTTTTTGTAGAATCTGCGAGGGGATATTTGGATAGATTTCAGGATTTCGTTGGAAACGGGAATATCTTCATATAAAAGATCGACAGAAGCATTCTCAGAAACTTCTTTGTGATATGTGCATTCAAGTCACAGAGTTGAACATTCCCTTTCGTACAGCAGTTTTGAAACACTCTTTCTGTAGTATCTGGAAGTGAACATTAGGACAGCTTTCAGCTCTATGGTGAGAAAGGAAATATCTTCAAATAAAAACTAGACAGAAGCATTCTCGTAAACTTGTTTGTGATGTGTGAGCTCAGCTAACAGAGGTGGATCTTTCTTTTGATAGAGCAGTTCTGAAAAACACTTTTTGTTGAATCTGCAAGTGGACATTTGGATAGATTTGAAGATTTCGTTGGAAACGGGAATATCTTCATATCAAATTTTGACAGAAGCATCCTCAGAAACTTCTTTTTGATGTGTGCATTCAAGTCACAGAGTTGAACATTCCCTTTCGTACAGCAGTTTTGAAACACTCTTTCTGTAGTATCTGGAAGTGAACATTAGGACAGCTTTCAGGTCTATGGTGAGAAAGGAAATATCTTCAAATAAAAACTAGACAGAAGCATTCTAATAAACTTGTTTGTGATGTGTGAACTCATCTAACACAGGTGGATCTTTCTTTTGATAGAGCAGTTCTGAAAAACACTTTTTGTTGAATCTGCAAGTGGACATTTGGATAGATTTGAAGATTTCGTTGGAAACGGCAATATCTTCATATCAAATCTAGACAGAAGCATTCTCAGAAACGTCTTTGCGATGTTTGCATTCAACTCATAGAGTTGAACATTCCGTTTCAGAGAGCAGCTTTGAGGCACTCTTTTTGTAGTATGTGCAAGTGGATATTTGGAGCGCTACTGAGGCCTACGGTGAAAAAGCAAATATCTTCCCATAACCACTAGACAGAAACATTCTCAGAAACTCCTTTATGATGTATGCACTCACCTAACAGAGAAGAACCTTCCTTTTGACAGAGCAGTTTTGATACACTCTTTTTGTAGAATCTGCAAGTGGATAGTTGGATAGCTGTGAAGATTTCGTTGCAAACGGGAATATCTTCCTATAAAATCTAGACAGAAGCATTCTCAGAAACTGCTCTGTGATGTCTGCATTCAAGTCACAGAGTTGAACACTGCCTTTCCTAGAGCAGGTTTGAAACGCTCTTTTTGTAGTATATGGAAGTGGACGTTTCGGACGGTTTGAGGCCCATGGTGATAAAGGGAATATCTTCCCCTACAAGCTAGAAAGAAGCATTCTGTGAAACTTGTTTGTGATGTGTGTACTCAACTAACAGAGTTGGACCTTTCTTTTTACAGAGCAGTTTTGAAACACTCTTTTTGTAGAATCTGTGAGGGGATATTTGGATAGATTTCAGGATTTCGTTGGAAACGAGAATATCTTCATATAAAATCTCGACAGAAGCATTCTCAGAAACTTCTTTGTGATATGTGCATTCAAGTCACAGAGTTGAATATTCCCTTTCACAGAGTAGGTTTGAAACACTCTTTTTGTAGTATCTGGAAGTGGACATTTGGAGCGCCTCGACGCCTACGGTGAAAAGGGAAATATCTTCCCATAAAAACTAGACAGAAGCAATCTCAGAATCTTCTTTGGGATATATGCACGCAGCTAACAGAGTTGAACCTTTCTATTGACAGAGCAGTTTTGAAACAGTATTTCTGTGGAATCTGCAAGTGGATATTTGGATAGCTTGGAGGATTTCGTTGGAAACGGGATTACGTATAAAAAGTAGACAGCAGCATCCTCAGAAACTTCTTTGTGATGTGGGCATTCAAGTCACAGAGTTGAACATTCCCTTTCGTACATCAGTTTTGAAACGCTCTTTCTGTAGTATCTGGAAGTGAACATTAGGACAGCTTTCAGGTCTATGGTGAGAAAGGAAATATCTTCAAATAAAAACTAGACAGAAGCATTCTCATCAACTTCTTTGTGATGTGTGAACTCAGCTAACAGAGGTGGATCTTTCTTTTGATAGAGCAGTTCTGAAAAACACTTTTTGTTGAATCTGCAAGTGGACATTTGGATAGATTTGAAGATTTCGTTGGAAACGGGAATATCTTCATATCAAATCTAGACAGAAGCATTCTCAGAAACGTCTTTGTGATGTTTGCATTCAACTCATAGATTTGAACATTCCGTTTCAGAGAGCAGCTTTGAGGCACTCTTTTTGTAGTATGTGCAAGTGGATATTTGGAGCGCTCTGAGGCCTACGGTGAAAAAGCAAATATCTTCCCATAACCACTAGACAGAAACATTCTCAGAAACTCCTTTGTGACGTATGCACTCAAGTAACAGAGAAGAACCTTCCTTTTGACAGAGCAGTTTTGATACACTCTTTTTGTAGAATCTGCAAGTGGATATTTGGATAGCTGTGAAGATTTCGTTGGAAACGGGAATATCTTCCTATGAAATCTAGACAGAAGCATTCTCAGAAACTGCTCTGTGATGTCTGCATTCAAGTCACAGAGTTGAACATTGCCTTTCATAGAGCAGGTTTGAAACGCTCTTTTTGTAGTATATGGAAGTGGATGTTTCGGACGGTTGGAGGTCCATGGTGATAAAGGGAATATCTTCCCCTACAAGCTAGAAAGAGAAGCATTCTGTGAAACTTGTTTGTGATGTGTGTACTCAACTAACAGAGTTGAACCTTTCTTTTTACAGAGCAGTTTTGAAACACTCTTTTTGTAGAATCTGCGAGGGGATATTTCGATAGATTTCAGGATTTCGTTGGAAACGGGAATATCTTCATATAAAATCTCGACAGAAGCATTCTCAGGAACTTCTTTGTGATATCTGCATTCAAGTCACAGAGTTGAATATTCCCTTTCACAGAGTAGGTTTGAAACACTCTTTTTGTAGTATCTGGAAGTGGACATTTGGAGCGCCTTGACGCCTACGGTGAAAAGGGAAATATCTTCCCATAAAAACTAGACAGAAGCAATCTCAGAATCTTCTTTGAGATATATGCACGCAGCTAATAGAGTTGAACCTTTCTATTGACAGAGCAGTTTTGAAACAGTCTTTCTGTGGAATCTGCAAGTGGATATTTGGATAGCTTGGAGGATTTCGTTGGAAACGGGATTACGTATAAAAAATAGACAGCAGCATCCTCAGAAACTTCTTTGTGATGTGTGCATTCAAGTCACAGAGTTGAACATTCCCTTTCGTGCAGCAGTTTTGAAACACTCTTTCTGTAGTATCTGGAAGTGAACATTAGGACAGCTTTCAGGTCTATGGTGAGAAAGGAAATATCTTCAAATAAAAACTAGACAGAAGCATACTCATAAACTTGTTTGTGATGTGTGAACTCAGCTAACAGGGGTGGATCTTTCTTTTGATAGAGCAGTTCTGAAAAACACTTTTTGTTGAATCTGCAAGTGGACATTTGGATAGATTTGAAGATTTCGTTGGAAACGGGAATATCTTCATATCAAATCTAGACAGAAGCATTCTCAGAAACGTCTTTGTGATGTTAGCATTCAACTCATAGAGTTGAACATTCCCTTTCAGAGAGCAGCTTTGAAGCACTCTTTTTGTAGTATGTGCAAGTGGACATTTGGAGCGCTTTGAGGTCTACGGGGAAAAAGCAAATATCTTCCCATAACCACTAGACAGGAACATTCTCAGAAACTCCTTTATGACGTATGCACACACCTAACAGAAAAGAACCTTCCTTTTGACAGAGCAGTTTTGATACACTCTTTTTGTAGAATCTGCAAGTGGATATTTGGATAGCTGTGAAGATTTCGTTGGAAACGGGAATATCTTCCTATAAAATCTAGACAGAAGCATTCTCAGAAACTGCTCTGTGATGTCTGCATTCAAGTCACAGAGTTGAACATTGCCTTTCATAGAGCAGGTTTGAAACGCTCTTTTTGTAGTATATGGAAGTGGACTTTTCGGACGGTTTGAGGCCCATGGTGATAAAGGGAATATACTTCCCCTACAAGCTAGAAAGAAAGCATTCTGTGAAACTTGTTTGTGAGGTGTGTACTCAACTAACAGAGTTGAACCTTTCTTTTTACAGAGCAGTTTTGAAACACTCTTTTTGTAGAATATGTGAGGGGATATTTGGATAGATTTCAGGATTTCGTTGGAAACGGGAATATCTTCATATAAAATCTCGACAGAAGCATTCTCAGAAACTTCTTTGTGATATGTGCATTCACGTCACAGAGTTGAATATTCCCTTTCACAGAGTAGGTTTGAAACACTCTTTTTGTAGTATCTGGAAGTGGACATTTGGAGCGCCTTGACACCTACGGTGAAAAGGGAAATATCTTCCCATAAAAACTAGACAGAAGCAATCTCAGAATCTTCTTTGGGATATATGCCCGCAGCTAACAGAGTTGAACCTTTCTATTGACAGAGCAGTTTTGAAACAGTCTTTCTGTGGAATCTGCAAGTGGATATTTGGATAGCTTGGAGGATTTCGTTGGAAACGGGATTACGTATAAAAAGTAGACAGCAGCATCCTCAGAATCTTCTTTGTGATGTGTGCATTCAAGTCACAGAGTTGAACATTCCCTTTCGTACAGCAGTTTTGAAACACTCTTTCTGTAGTATCTGGGAGTGAACATTAGGACAGCTTTCAGGTCTATGGTGAGAAAGGAAATATCTTCAAATAAAAACTAGACAGACAAGCATTCTCATAAACTTGTTTGTGATGTGTGAACTCAGCTAACAACGGTGGATCTTTCTTTTGATAGAGCAGTTCTGAAAAACACTTTTTGTTGAATCTGCAAGTGGACATTTGGATAGTTTTGAAGATTTCCTTGGAAAAGGGAATATCTTCATATCAAATCTAGACAGAAGCATTCTCAGAAACGTCTTTGCGATGTTTGCATTCAACTCATAGAGTTGAACATTCCGTTTCAGAGAGCAGTTTGAGGCACTCTTTTTGTAGTATGTGCAAGTGGATATTTGGAGCGCTCTGAGGCCTACGGTGAAAAAGCAAATATCTTCCCATAACCACTAGACAGAAACATTCTCAGAAACTCCTTTATGACGTATGCACTCACCTAACAGAGAAGAACCTTCCTTTTGACAGAGCAGTTTTGATACACTCTTTTTGTAGAATCTGCAAGTGGATATTTGGATACCTGTGAAGATTTTGTTGGAAACGGGAATATCTTCCTATAAAATCTAGACAGAAGCATTCTCAGAAACTGCTCTCTGATGTCCGCATTCAAGTCACAGGAGTTGAACATTGCCTTTCCTAGAGCAGGTTTGAAACGCTCTTTTGGTAGTATATGGAAGTGGACGTTTCGGACGGTTTGAGGCCCATGGTGATAAAGGGAATATCTTCCCCTACAAGCTAGAAAGAAGCATTCTGTGAAATTGTTTGTGATGTGTGTACTCAACTAACAGAGTTGAACCTTTCTTTTTACAGAGCAGTTTTGAAACACTCTTTTTGTAGAATCTGCGAGGGGATATTTGGATAGATTTCAGGATTTCGTTGGAAACGGGAATATCTTCATATAAAATCTCGACAGAAGCATTCTCAGAAACTTCTTTGTGATATGTGCATTCAAGTCACAGAGTTGAATATTCCCTTTCACAGAGTAGGTTTGAAACAATCTTTTTGTAGTATCTGGAAGTGGACATTTGGAGCGCCTTGACGCCTACGGTGAAAAGGGAAATATCTTCTCATAAAAAGTAGACAGAAGCAATCTCAGAATCTTCTCTGGGATATATGCACGCAGCTAACAGAGTTGAACCTTTCTATTGACAGAGCAGTTTTGAAACAGTCTTTCTGTGGAATCTGCAAGTGGATATTTGGATAGCTTGGAGGATTTCGTTGGAAACGGGATTACGTATAAAAAGTAGACAGCAGCATCCTCAGAAACTTCTTTGTGATGTGTGCATTCAAGTCACAGAGTTGAACATTCCCTTTCGTACAGCAGTTTTGAAACACTCTTTCTGTAGTATCTGGAAGTGAACATTAGGACAGCTTTCAGCTCTATGGTGAGAAAGGAAATATCTTCAAATAAAAACCAGACAGAAGCATTCTCATAAACTTGTTTGTGATGTGTGAACTCAGCTAACAGACGTGGATCTTTCTTTTGATACAGCAGTTCTGAAAAACACTTTTTGTTGAATCTGCAAGTGGACATTTGGATAGATATGAAGATTTCGTTGGGAAACGGGAATATCTTCATATCAAATCTAGACAGAAGCATTCTCAGAAACGTCTTTGTGATGATTGCATTCAACTCATAGAGTTGAACATTCCGTTTCAGAGAGCAGCTTTGAAGCACTCTTTTTGTAGTATGTGCAAGTGGATATTTGGAGCGCTCTGGGGCCTACGGTGAAAAAGCAAATATCTTCCCATAACCACTAGACAGAAACATTCTCAGAAACTCCTTTATGACGTATGTACTCAACTAACAGAGAAGAACCTTCCTTTTGACAGAGCAGTTTTGATCCACTCTTTTTGTAGAATCTGCAAGTGGATATTTGGATAGCTGTGAAGGTTTCGTTAGAAACGGAAATATCTTCCTATAAAATCTAGACAGAAAGCATTCTCAGAAACTGCTCTGTGATGTCTGCATTCAAGTCACAGAGTTGAACATTGCCTTTCATAGAGCAGGTTTGAAACGCTCTTTTTGTAGTATATTGAAGTGGACGTTTCGGACGGTTTGAGGCCCATGGTGATAAAGGGAATATCTTCCCCTACAAGCTAGAAAGAAGCATTCTGTGAAACTTGTTTCTGATGTGTGTACTCAAGTAACAGAGTTGAACCTTTCTTTTTACAGAGCAGTTTTGAAACACTCTTTCTGTAGAATCTGCGAGGGGATATTTGGATAGATTTCAGGATTTCGTTGGAAACGGGAATATCTTCATATAAAATCTCGACAGAAGCATTCTCAGAAACTTCTTTGTGATATGTGCATTCAAGTCACAGAGTTGAATATTCCCTTTCACAGAGTAGGTTTGAAACACTCTTTTTGTAGTATCTGGAGGTGGACATTTGGAGCGCCTTGACGCCTACGGTGAAAAGGGAAATATCTTCCCATAAAAACTAGACAGAAGCAATCTCAGAATCTTCTTTGTGATATATGCACGCAGCTAACAGAGTTGAACCTTTCTATTGACAGAGCAGTTTTGAAACAGTCTTTCTGTGGAATCTGCAAGTGGATATTTGGATAGCTTGGAGGATTTCGTTGGAAACGGGATTACGTATAAAAAGTAGACAGCAGCATCCTCAGAAACTTCTTTGTGATGTGTGCATTCAAGTCACAGAGTTGAACATTCCCTTTTGTACAGCAGTTTTGAAACACTCTTTCTGTAGTATCTGGAAGTGAACATTAGGACAGCTTTCAGGTCTATGGTGAGAAAGGCAATATCTTCAAATAAAAACTAGACAGAAGCATTCTCATAAACTTGTTTGTGATGTGTGAACTCACCTAAGAGACGTGGATCTTTCTTTTGATAGAGCAGTTCTGAAAAACACTTTTTGTTGAATCTGCAAGTGGACATTTGGATAGATTTGAAGATTTCGTTGGAAACGGGAATATCTTCATATCAAATCTAGACAGAAGCATTCTCAGAAACGTCTTTGTCATGTTTGCATTCAACTCATAGAGTTGAACATTCCCTTTCAGAGAGCAGCTTTGAAGCACTCTTTTTGTAGTATGTGCAAGTGGACATTTGGAGCGCTTTGAGGCCTACGGGGAAAAAGCAAATATCTTCCCATAACCACTAGACAGGAACATTCTCAGAAACTCCTTTATGACGTATGTACTCAACTAAGAGAGAAGAACCTTCCTTTTGACAGAGCAGTTTTGATACACTCTTTTTGTAGAATCTGCAAGTGGATATTTGGATAGCTGTGAAGATTTCGTTGGAAACGGGAATATCTTCCTATAAAATCTAGACAGAAGCATTCTCAGTAAACTGCTCTGTGATGTCTGCATTCAAGTCACAGAGTTGAACATTGCCTTTCATAGAGCAGGTTTGAAACGCTCTTTTTGTAGTATATGGAAGTTGACGTTTCGGACGGTTTGAGGCCCATGGTGATAAAGGGAATATCTTCCCCTACAAGCTAGAAAGAAGCATTCTGTGAAACTTGTTTGTGATGTGTGTACTCAAGTAACAGAGTTGAACCTTTCTTTTTACAGAGCAGTTTTGAAACACTCTTTTTGTAGAATCTGCGAGGGGATATTTGGATAGATTTCAGGATTTCGTTGGAAACGGGAATATCTTCACATAAAATCTCGAAGGAAGCATTCTCAGAAACTTCTTTGTGATATGTGCATTCAAGTCACAGAGTTGAATATTCCCTTTCACAGAGTAGGTTTGAAACACTCTTTTTGTAGTATCTGGAAGTGGACATTTGTAGCGCCTTGACACCTACGGTGAAAAGGGAAATATCTTCCCATAAAAACTAGACAGAAGCAATCTCAGAATCTTCTTTGGGATGTATGCACCCAGCTAACAGAGTTGAACCTTTCTATTGACAGAGCAGTTTTGAAACAGTCTTTTTGTGGAATCTGCAAGTGGATATTTGGATAGCTTGGAGGATTTCGTTGGAAACGGGATTACGTATAAAAAGTAGACAGCAGCATCCTCAGAATCTTCTTTGTGATGTGTGCATTCAAGTCAAAGAGCTGAACATTCCCTTTCGTACAGCAGTTTTGAAACACTCTTTCTCTAGTATCTGGAAGTGAACATTAGGACAGCTTTCAGGTCTATGGTGAGAAAGGAAATATCTTCAAATAAAAACTAGACAGAAGCATTCTCATAAACTTGTTTGTGATGTGTGAACTCAGCTAACAGAGGTGGATCTTTCTTTTGATAGAGCAGTTCTGAAAAACACATTTTGTTGAACCTGCAAGTGGACATTTGGATAGATTTGAAGATTTCGTTGGAAACGGGAATATCTTCATATCAAATCTAGACAGAAGCATTCTCAGCAAACGTCTTTGTGATGTTTGCATTCAACTCATAGAGTTGAACATTCCGTTTCAGAGAGCAGCTTTGAAGCACTCTTTTTGTAGTATGTGCAAGTGGATATTTTGAGCGCTCTGAGGCCTACGGTGAAAAAGCAAATATCTTCCCATAACCACTAGACAGAAACATTCTCAGAAACTTCTTTATGACGTATGTACTCAACTAGCAGAGAAGAACTTTCCTTTTGACAGAGCACTTTTGATACACTCTTTTTGTAGTATCTGCAAGTGGATATTTGGATAGCTGTGAAGATTTCGTTGGAAACGGGAATATCTTCCTATAAAGTCTGGACAGAAGCATTCTCAGAAACTGCTCTGTGATGTCTGCATTGAAGTCACAGAGTTGAACATTGCCTTTCATAGAGCAGGTGTGAGACGCTCTTTTTGTAGTATATGGAAGTGGACGTTTCGGACGGTTTGAGGCCCATGGTGATAAAGGGAATATCTTCCCCTACAAGCTAGAAAGAAGCATTCTGTGAAACTTGTTTGTGATGTGTGTACTCAACTAACAGAGTTGAACCTTTCTTTTTACAGAGCAGTTTTGAAACACTCTTTTTGTAGAATCTGCGAGGGGATATTTGGATAGATTTCAGGATTTCGTTGGAAACGGGGATATCTTCATATAAAATCTCGACAGAAGCATTCTCAGAAACTTCTTTGTGATATCTGCCTTCAAGTCACAGAGTTGAATATTCCCTTTCACAGAGTAGGTTTGAAACACTCTTTTTGTAGTATCCGGAAGTGGACATTTGGAGCGCCTTGACGCCTACGGTGAAAAGGGATATATCTTCCCATAAAAACTAGACAGAAGCAATCTCAGAATCTTCTTTGGGATATATGCACGCAGCTAACAGAGTTGAACCTTTCTATTGACAGAGCAGTTTTGAAACAGTCTTTCTGTGGAATCTGCAAGTGGATATTTGGATAGCTTGGAGGATTTCGTTGGAAACGGGATTACGTATAAAACGTAGACAGCAGCATCCTCAGAAACTTCTTTGTGATGTGTGCATTCAAGTCACAGAGTTGAACATTCCCTTTCGTACAGCAGTTTTGAAACGCTCTTTCTGTAGTATCTGGAAGTGAACTTTAGGACAGCTTTCAGGTCTATGGTGAGAAAGGAAATATCTTCAAATAAAAACTAGACAGAAGCATTCTCATAAACTTGTTTGTGATGTGTGAACTCAGCTAACAGAGGTGGATCTTTCTTTTGAGAGAGCAGTTCTGAAAAACACTTTTTGTTGAATCTGCAAGTGGACATTTGGATAGATTTGAAGATTTCGTTGGAAACGGGAATATCTTCATATCAAATCTAGACAGAAGCATTCTCAGAAACGTCTTTGTGATGTTTGCATTCAACTCATAGAGTTGAACATTCCGTTTCAGAGAGCAGCTTTGAAGCACTCTTTTTGTAGTATGTGCAAGTGGATATTTGGATCGCTGTGAGGCCTAAGGTGAAAAAGCAAATATCTTCCCATAACCACTAGACAGAAACATTCTCAGAAACTCCTTTATGACGTATGCACTCACCTAACAGAAAAGAACCTTCCTTTTGACAGAGCAGTTTTGATACACTCTTTTTGTAGAATCTGCAAGTGGATATTTGGATAGCTGTGAAGGTTTCGTTGGAAACGGGAATATCTTCCTATAAAATCTAGACAGAAGCATTCTCAGAAACTGCTCTGTGATATCTGCATTCAAGTCACAGAGTTGAACATTGCCTTTCCTAGAGCAGGTTTGAAACGCTCTTTTTGTAGTATATGGAAGTGGACGTTTCGGACGGTTTGAGGCCCATGGTGATAAAGGGAATATCTTCCCCTACAAGCTAGAAAGAAGCATTCTGTGAAACTTGTTTGTGATGTGTGTACTCAACTAAGAGAGTTGAACCTTTCTTTTCACAGAGCAGTTTTGAAACACTCTTTTTGTAGAATCTGCGAGGGGATATTTGGATAGATTTCAGGATTTCATTGGAAACGGGAATATCTTCATATAAAATCTCGACAGAAGCATTCTCAGAAACTTCTTTGTGATATGTGCATTCAAGTCACAGAGTTGAATATTCCCTTTCACAGAGTAGGTTCGAAACACTCTTTTTGTAGTATCTGGAAGTGGACATTTGGAGCGCCTTGACGCCTACGGTGAAAAGGGAAATATCTTCCCATAAAAACTAGACAGAAACAATCTCAGAATCTTCTTTGGGATATATGCACGCAGCTAACAGAGTTGAACCTTTCTATTGACAGAGCAGTTTTGAAACAGTCTTTCTGCGGAATCTGCAAGTGGATATTTGGATAGCTTGGAGGATTTCGTTGGAAACGGGATTAGGTATAAAAAGTAGACAGCAGCCTCCTCAGAAACTTCTTTGTGATGTGTGCATTCAAGTCACACAGTTGAACATTCCCTTTCGTACAGCAGTTTTGAAACACTCTTTCTGTAGTATCTGGAAGTGAACATTAGGACAGCTTTCAGGTCTATGGTGAGAAAGGCAATATCTTCAAATAAAAACTAGACAGAAGCATTCTCATAAACTTGTTTGTGATGTGTGAACTCAGCTAACAGAGGTGGATCGTTCTTTTGATAGAGCAGTTCTGAAAAACACTTTTTGTTGAATCTGCAAGTGGACATTTGGATAGATTTGAAGATTTCGTTGGAAACGGGAATATCTTCATATCAAATCTAGACAGAAGCATTCTCAGAAACGTCTTTGTGATGTTTGCATTCAACTCATAGAGTTGAACATTCACTTTCAGAGAGCAGCTTTGAAGCACTCTTTTTGTAGTATGTGCAAGTGGATATTTTGATCGCTCTGTGGCCTACGGTGAAAAAGCAAATATCTTCCCATAACCACTAGACAGAAACATTCTCAGAAACTAATTTATGACGTATATACTCAACTAACAGAGAAGAACCTTCCTTTTGACAGAGCAGTTTTGATACACTCTTTTTGTAGGATCTGCAAGTGGATATTTGGATAGCTGTGAAGATTTCGTTGGAAACGGGAATATCTTCCTATAAAATCTAGACAGAAGCATTCTCAGAAACTGCTCTGTGATGTCTGCATTCAAGTCACAGAGTTGAACATTGCCTTTCATAGAGCAGGTTTGAAATGCTCTTTTTGAAGTATATGGAAGTGGACGTTTCAGACGGTTTGAGGCCCATGGTGATAAAGGGAATATCTTCCCCTACAAGCTAGAAAGAAGCATTCTGTGAAACTTGTTTGTGATGTGTGTACTCAACTAACAGAGTTGAACCTTTCTTTTCACAGAGCAGTTTTGAAACACTCTTTTTGTAGAATCTGCGAGGGGATATTTGGATAGATTTCAGCATTTGGTTGGAAACGGGAATATCTTCATGTAAAATCTCGACAGAAGCATTCTCAGAAACTTCCTTGTGATATGTGCATTCAAGTCACAGACTTGAATATTCCCTTTCACAGAGTAGGTTTGAAACACTCTTTTTGAAGTATCTGGAAGTGGACATTTGGAGCGCCTTGACGCCTACGGTGAAAAGGGAAATATCTTCCCATAAAAACTAGACAGAAGCAATCTCAGAATCTTCTTTGGGATATATACACGCAGCTAACAGAGTTGAACCTTTCTATTGACAGAGCAGTTTTGAAACAGTCTTTCTGTGGAATCTGCAAGTGGATATTTGGATAGCTTGGAGGATTTCGTTGGAAACGGGATTAAGTATAAAAAGTAGACAGCAGCATCCTCAGAAACTTCTTTGTGATGTGTGCATTCAAGTCACAGAGTTGAACATTCCCTTTCGTACAGCAGTTTTGAAACACTCTTTCTGTAGTAACTGGAAGTGAACATTAGGACAGCTTTCAGGTCTATGGTGAGAAACGAAATATCTTCAAATAAAAACTAGACAGAAGCATTCTCGTAAACTTGTTTGTGATGTGTGAACCCAGCTAAAAGAGGTGGATCTTTCTTTTGATAGAGCAGTTCTGAAAAACACTTTTTGTTGAATCTGCAAGTGGACATTTGGATAGATTTGAAGATTTCGTTGGAAACGGGAATATCTTCATATCAAATCTAGACAGAAGCATTCTCAGAGACGTCTTTGTGATGTTTGCATTCAACTCATAGAGTTGAACATTCCCTTTCAGAGAGCAGCTTTGAAGCACACTTTTTGTAGTATGTGCAAGTGGATATTTGGAGCGCTATGAGGCCTACGGTGAAAAAGCAAATATCTTCCCATAACCACTAGACAGAAACATTCTCAGAAACTCCTTTATGACGTATGTACTCAACTAACAGAGAAGAACCTTCCTTTTGACAGAGCAGTTTTGATAGACTCTTTTTGTAGAATCTGCAAGTGGATATTTGGATAGCTGTGAAGATTTCGTTGGAAACGGGAATATCTTCCTATAAAATCTAGACAGAAGCATTCTCAGAAACTGCTCTGTGATGTCTGCATTCAAGTCACAGAGTTGAACATTGCCTTTCATAGAGCAGGTTTGAAACGCTCTTTTTGTAGTATATGGAAGTAGACGTTTCAGACGGTTTGAGGCCCTTGGTGATAAAGGGAATATCTTCCCCTACAAGCTAGAAAGAAGCATTCTGTGAAACTTGTTTGTGATGTGTGTACTCAACTAACAGAGTTGAACCTTTCTTTTTACAGAGCAGTTTTGAAACACTCTTTTTGTAGAATCTGCGAGGGGATATTTGGATAGATTTCAGGAATTTGTTGGAAACCGTAATATCTTTATATAAAATCTCGACAGAAGCATTCTCAGAAACTTCTTTGTGATATCTGCCTTCAAGTCACAGAGTTGAATATTCCCTTTCGCAGAGTAGGTTTGAAACACTCTTTTTGTAGTATCTGGAAGTGGACATTTGGAGCTCCTTGACACCTACGGTGAAAAGGGAAATATCTTCCCATAAATACTAGACAGAAGCAATCTCAGAATCTTCTTTGGGATATATGCACGCAGCTAACAGAGTTGAACCTTTCTATTGACAGAGCAGTTTTGAAACAGTCTTTCTGTGGAATCTGCAAGTGGATATTTGTATAGCTTGGAGGATTTTGTTGGAAACGGGATTACGTATAAAAAGTAGACAGCAGCATCCTCAGAAACTTCTTTGTGATGTGTGCATTCAAGTCACAGAGTTGAACATTCCCTTTCATGCAGCAGTTTTGAAACACTCTTTCTGTAGTATCTGGAAGTGAACATTAGGACAGCTTTCAGGTCTATGGTGAGAAAGGAAATATCTTCAAATAAAAACTAGACAGAAGCATTCTCATAAAGTTCTTTGTGATGTGTGGACTCAACTAACAGAGGTGGATCTTTCTTTTGATACAGCACTTTTGAAAAACACTTTTTGTTGAATCTGCAAGTGGACATTTGGATAGATTGGAAGATTTCGTTGGAAACGGGAATATCTTCATATCAAATCTAGACAGAAGCATTCTCAGAAACGTCTTTGTGATGTTTTCATTCAACTCATAGAGTTGAACATTCCGTTTCAGAGAGCAGCTTTGAGGCACTCTTTTTGTAGTATGTGCAAGTGGATATTTGGAGCGCTCTGAGGCCTACGGTGAAAAAGCAAATATCTTCCCATAACCACTAGTCAGAAACATTCTTAGAAACTCCTTTATGACGTATGTACTCAACTAACAGAGAAGAACCTTCCTTTTGACAGAGCAGTTTTGATACACTCTTTTTGTAGAATCTGCAAGTGCATATTTGGATAGCTGTGAAGATTTCGTTGGAAACGGGAATATCTTCCTATAAAATCTAGACAGAAGCATTCTCAGAAACTGCTCTGTGATGTCTGCATTCAAGTCTCAGAGTTGAACATTGCCTTTCATAGAGCAGGTTTGAAACGCTCTTTTTGTAGTATATGGAAGTAGACGTTTCGGACGGTTTGAGGCCCATGGTGATAAAGGGAATATCTTCCCCTACAAGCTAGAAAGAAGCATTCTGTGAAACTTGTTTGTGATGTGTGTACTCAACTAAGATAGTTGAACCTTTCTTTTCACAGAGCAGTTTTGAAACACTCTTTTTGTAGAATCTGCGAGGGGATATTTGGATAGATTTCAGGATTTCGTTGGAAACGGGAATATCTTCATACAAAATCTCGACAGAATCATTCTCAGAAACTTCTTTGTGATATCTGCATTCAAGTCACAGAGTTGAATATTCCCTTTCACAGAGTAGGTTTGAAACACTCTTTTTGTAGTATCTGGAAGTGGACATTTGGAGCGCCTTGACACCTACGGTGAAAAGGGAAATATCTTCCCATAAAAACTAGACAGAAGCAATCTCAGAATCTTCTTTGGGATATATGCACGCAGATAACAGAGTTGAACCTTTCTATTGACAGAGCAGTTTTGAAACAGTCTTTCTGTGGAATCTGCAAGTGGATATTTGGATAGCTTGGAGGATTTCGTTGGAAACGGGATTACGTATAAAAAGTAGACAGCAGCATCCTGAGAAACTTCTTTGTGATGTGTGCATTGAAGTCACAGAGTTGAACATTCTCTTTCGTACAGCAGTTTTGAAACACTCTTTCTGTAGTATCTGGAAGTGAACATTAGGACAGCTTTCAGGTCTATGGTGAGAAAGGAAATATCTTCAAATAAAAACTAGACAGAAGCATTCTCATAAACTTGTTTGTGATGTGTTAACTCAGCTAACAGAGGTGGATCTTTCTTTTGATAGAGCAGTTCTGAAAAACACTTTTTGTTGAATCTGCAAGTGGACATTTGGATAGATTTGAAGATTTCGTTGGAAACGGGTATATCTTCATATCAAATCTAGACAGAAGCATTCTCAGAAACGTCTTTGTCATGTTTGCATTCAACTCATAGAGTTGAACATTCCGTTTCAGAGAGCAGCTTTGAAGCACTCTTTTTGTAGTATGTGCAAGCGGATATTTGGAGCGCTACTGAGGCCTACGGTGAAAAAGCAAATATCTTCCCATAACCACTAGACAGAAAACATTCTCAGAAACTTCTTTATGACGTATGTACTCAACTAGCAGAGAAGAACTTTCCTTTTGACAGAGCATTTTTGATACATTCTTTTTGTAGTATCTGCAAGTGGATATTTGGATAGCTGTGAAGATTTCCTTGGAAACGGGAATATCTTCCTATAAAGTCTGGACAGAAGCATTCTCAGAAACAGCTCTGTGATGTCTGCATTCAAGTCACAGAGTTGAACATTGCCTTTCATAGAGCAGGTTTGAAACGCTCTTTTTGTAGTATATTGAAGTGGACTTTTCGGACGGTTTGAGGCCCATGGTGATAAAGGGAATATCTTCCCCTACAAGCTAGAAAGAAGCATTCTGTGATACTTGTTTGTGATGTGTGTACTCAACTAACAGAGTTGAACCTTTCTTTTTAAAGAACAGTTTTGAAACACTCTTTTTGTAGAATCTGCGAGGGGATATTTGGATAGATTTCAGGATTTCGTTGGAAACGGGAATATCTTCATATAAAATCTCGACAGAAGCATTCTCAGAAACTTCCTTGTGATATGTGTATTCAAGTCACAGAGTTGAATATTCCCTTTCACAGAGTAGGTTTGAAACACTCTTTTTGTAGTATCTGGAAGTGGACATTTGGAGCGCCTTGACGCCTACGGTGAAAAAGGAAATATCTTCCCATAAAAACTAGACAGAAGCAATCTCAGAATCTTCTTTGGGATATATGCACGGAGCTAACAGAGTTGAACCTTTCTATTGACAGAGCAGTTTTGAAACAGTCTTTCTGTGGAATCTGCAAGTGGATATTTGGATAGCTTGGAGGTTTTCTTTGGAAACGGGATTACGTATAAAAAGTAGACTGCAGCATCCTCAGAAACTTCTTTGTGATGTGTGCATTCAAGTCACAGTGTTGAACATTCCCTTTCGTACAGCAGTTTTGAAACACTCTTTCTGTAGTATCTGGAAGTGAACATTAGGACAGCTTTCAGGTCTATGGTGAGAAAGGAAATATCTTCAAATAAAAACAAGACAGAAGGCATTCTCATAAACTTGTTTGTGATGTGTGAACTCAGCTAACAGAGGTGTATCTTTCCTTTGATAGAGCAGTTCTGAAAAACACGTTTTGTTGAATCTGCAAGTGGACATTTTGATAGATTTGAAGATTTCGTTGCAAACGGGAATATCTTCATATCAAAGCTAGACAGAAGCATTCTCAGAAACGTCTTTGCGATGTTTGCATTCAACTCATAGTGTTGAACATTCCCTTTCAGAGAGCAGCTTTGAGGCACTCTTTTTGTAGTATGTGCAAGTGGATATTTGGAGCGCTCTGAGGCCTACGGTGAAAAAGCAAATATCTTCCCATAACCACTAGACAGAAACATTCTCAGAAACTCCTTTATGACGTATGCACTCACCTAACAGAGAAGAACCTTCCTTTTGACAGAGCAGTTTTGATACACTCTTTTTGTAGAATCTGTAAGTGGATATTTGGATAGCTGTGAAGATTTTGTTGGAAACGGGAATATCTTCCTATAAAATCTAGACAGAAGCATTCTCAGAAACTGCTCTGTGATGTCTGCATTCAAGTCACAGAGTTGAACATTGCCTTTCATAGAGCAGGTTTGAAACGCTCTTTTTGTAGTATATGGAAGTGGACGTTTCGGACGGTTTGAGGCCCATGGTGATAAAGGGAATATCTTCTCTCTACAAGCTAGAAAGAAGCATTCTGTGAAACTTGTTTGTGATGTGTGTACTCAACTAACAGAGTTGAACCTTTCTTTTTACAGAGCAGTTTTGAAACACTCTTTTTGTAGAATCTGCGATGGGATATTTGGATAGATTTCAGGATTTCGTTGGAAAGGGGAATATCTTCATATAAAATCTCGACAGAAGCATTCTCAGAAACTTCTTTGTGATATGTGCATTCAAGTCACAGAGTTGAATATTCCCTTTCACAGAGTAGGTTTGAAACACTCTTTTTGTAGTATCTGGAAGTGGACATTTGGAGCGCCTTGACGCCTACGGTGAAAAGGAAAATATCTTCCCATAAAAACTAGACAGAAGCAATCTCAGAATCTTCTTTGGGATATATGCACGTAGCTAACAGAGTTGAACCTTTCTATTGACAGAGCAGGTTTGAAACAGTCTTTCTGTGGAATCTGCAAGTGGATATTTGGATAGCTTCGAGGATTTCGTTGGAAACAGGATTACGTAGAAAAAGTAGACAGCAGCATCCTCAGAAACTTCCTTGTGATGTGTGCATTCAAGTCACAGAGTTGAACTTTCCCTTTCGTACAGCAGTTTTGAAACACTCTTTCTGTAGTATCTGGAAGTGAACATTAGGAGAGCTTTCAGGTCTATAGTGAGAAAGGATATATCTTCAAATAAAAACTAGACAGAAGCATTCTCATAAACTTGTTTGTGATGTGTGAACTCAGCTAACAGAGGTGGATCTTTCTTTTGATAGAGCAGTTGTGAAAAACACTTTTTGTTGATTATGCAAGTGGACATTTGGATAGATTTGAAGATTTCGTTGGAAACGGGAATATCTTCATATCAAATCTAGACAGAAGCATTCTCAGAAACGTCTTTGTGATGTTTGCATTCAACTCATAGAGTTGAACATTCCGTTTCAGAGAGCAGCTTTGAGGCACTCTTTTTGTAGTATGTGCAAGTGGATATTTGGAGCGCTCTGAGGCCTACGGTGAAAAAGCAAATATCTTCCCATAGCCACTAGACAGAAACATTCTCAGAAACTCCTTTATGACGTATGCACTCAACTAACAGAGAAAAACCTTCCTTTTGACAGAGCAGTTTTGATACACTCTTTTTGTAGAATCTGCAAGTGGATATTTGGATAGCTGTGAAGTTTTCGATGGAAACGGGAATATCTTCCTATAAAATCTAGACAGAAGCATTCTCAGAAACTGCTCTGTGATGTCTGCATTCAAGTCACAGAGTTGAACATTGCCTTTCCTAGAGCAGGTTTGAAATGCTGTTTTTGTAGTATATGGAAGTGGACGTTTCGGACGGTTTGAGGCCCATGGTGATAAAGGGAATATCTTCCCCTACAAGCTAGAAAGAAGCATTCTGTGAAACTTGTTTGTGATGTGTGTACTCAACTAACAGAGTTGAACCTTTCTTTTTACAGAGCAGTTTTGAAACACTCTTTTTGTAGAATCTGCGAGGGGATATTCGGATAGATTTCAGGATTTCGTTGGAAACGGGAATATCTTCATATAAAATCTCGACAGAAGCATTCTCAGAAACTTCTTTGTGATATGTGCATTCAAGTCACAGAGTTGAATATTCCCTTTCACAGAGTAGGTTTAAAACACTCTTTTTGTAGTATCTGGAAGTGGACATTTGGAGCGCCTTGACACCTACGGTGAAAAGGGAAATATCTTCCCATAAAAACTAGACAGAAGCAATCTCAGAATCTTCTTTGGGATATATGCACGCAGCTAACAGAGTTGAACCTTTCTATTGACTGAGCAGATTTGAAACAGTCTTTCTGTGGAATCTGCAAGTGGATATTTGGATAGCTTGGAGGATTTCGTTGGAAACGGGATTACGTATAAAAAGTAGACAGCAGCATCCTCAGAAACTTCTTTGTGATGTGTGCATTCAATTCACAGAGTTGAACATTCCCTTTCATACAGCAGTTTTGAAACACTCTTTCTGTAGTATCTGGAAGTGAACATTAGGACAGCTTTCAGGTCTATGGTGAGAAAGGAAATATCTTCAAATAAAAACTAGACAGAAGCATTCTCATAAACTTGTTTGTGATGTGTGAACTCAGCTTACAGAGGTGGATCTTTCTTTTGATAGAGCAGTTCTGAAAAACTCTTTTGTTGAATCTGCAAGTGGACATTTGGATAGATTTGAAGATTTCGTTGGAAACGGGAATATCTTCATATCAAATCTAGACAGAAGCATTCTCGGAAACGTCTTTGTGATGTTTGCATTCAACTCATAGAATTGAACATTCCGTTTCAGAGAGCAGCTTTGAGGCACTCATTTTGTAGTATGTGCAAGTGGATATTTGGAGCGCTCTGAGGCCTTCGGTGAAAAAGCAAATATCTTCCCATAACCACTAGACAGAAACTTTCTCAGAAACTCCTTTATGACGTATGCACTCACCTAACAGAGAAGAACCTTCCTTTTGACAGAGCAGTTTTGATACACTCTTTTTGTAGAATCTGCAAGTGGATATTTGGATAGCTGTGAAGATTTCGTTGGAAACGGGAATATCTTCCTATAAAATCTAGACAGAAGCATTCTCAGAAACTGCTCTGTGATGTCTGCATTCAAGTCACAGAGTTGAACATTCCCTTTCCTAGAGCAGGTTTGAAACGCTCTTCTTGTAGTATATGGAAGTGGACGTTTCGGATGGTTTGAGGCCCATGGTGATAAAGGGAATATCTTCCCCTACAAGCTAGAAAGAAACATTCTCAGAAACTCCTTTATGACGTATGCACTCACCTAACAGAGAAGAACCTTCCTTTTGACAGAGCAGTTTTGATACACTCTTTTTGTAGAATCTGCAAGTGGATATTTGGATAGCTGTGAAGATTTTGTTGGAAACGGGAATATCTTCCTATAAAATCTCGACAGAAGCATTCTCAGAAACTTCTTTGTGATATCTGCCTTTAAGTCACAGAGTTGAATATTCCCTTTCACAGAGTAGGTTTGAAACACTCTTTTTGTAGTATCTGGAAGTGGACATTTGGAGCTCCTTGACACCTACGGTGAAAAGGGAAATATCTTCCCATAAAAACTAGACAGAAGCAATCTCAGAATCTTCTTTGGGATATATGCACGCAGCTATCAGAGTTGAACCTTTCTATTGACAGAGCAGTTTTGAAACAGTCTTTCTGTGGAATCTGCAAGTGGATATTTGGATAGCTTGGAGGATTTCGTTGGAAAAGGGATTATGTATAAAAAGTAGACAGCAGCATCCTCAGAAACTTCTTTGTGATGTGTGCATTGAAGTCACAGAGTTGAACATTCCCTTTCGTACAGCAGTTTTGAAACACTCTTTCTGTAGTACCTGGAAGTGAACATTAGGACAGCTTTCAGGTCTATGGTGAGAAAGGAAATATCTTCAAATAAAAACTAGACAGAAGCATTCTCATAAACTTGTTCGTGATGTGTGAACTCAGCTAACACACGTGGATCTTTCTTTTGATAGAGCAGTTCTGAAAAACACTTTTTGTTGAATCTGCAAGTGGACATTTGGATAGATTTGAAGATTTCGTTGCAAACGGGAATATCTTCATATCAAATCTAGACAGAAGCATTCTCAGAAACGTCTTTGTGATGTTTGCATTCAACTCATAGATTTGAACATTCCGTTTCAGAGAGCAGCTTTGAAGCACTCTTTTTGTAGTATGTGCAAGGGGATATTTGGAGCGCTCTGAGGCCTATGGTGAAAAAGCAAATATCTTCCCATAACCACTAGACAGAAACATTCTCAGAAACTCCTTTATGACGTATGCACTCACCTAACAGAAAAGAACCTTCCTTTTGACAGAGCAGTTTTGATACACTCTTTTTGTAGAATCTGCAAGTGGATATTTGGATAGCTGTGAAGATTTCGTAGGAAACGGGAATATCTTCCTATAAAATCTAGACAGAAGCATTCTCAGAAACTGCTCTGAGATGTCTGCATTCAAGTCACAGAGTTGAACATTGCCTTTCCTAGAGCAGGTTTGAAACGCTCTTTTTGTAGTATATGGAAGTGGACGTTTCGGACGGTTTGAGGCCCATGGTGATAAAGGGAATATCTTCCCCTACAAGCTAGAAATAAGCATTCTGTGAAACTTGTTTGTGATGTGTGTACACAACTAACAGAGTTGAACCTTTCTTTTTACAGAGCAGTTTTGAAACACTCTTTTTGTAGAATCTGCGAGGGGATATTTGGATAGATTTCAGGATTTCGTTGGAAACGGGACTATCTTCATATAAAATCTCGACAGAAGCATTCTCAGGAACTTCTTTGTGATATCTGCACTCAAGTCACAGAGTTGAATATTCCCTTTCACAGAGTAGGTTTGAAACACTCTTTTTGTAGTATCTGGAAGTGGACATTTGTAGCTCCTTGACACCTACGGTGAAAAGGGAAATATCTTCCCATAAAAACTAGACAGAAGCAATCTCAGAATCTTCTTTGGGATATATGCACGCAGCTAACAGAGTTGAACCTTTCTATTGACAGAGCAGTTTTGTAACAGTCTTTCTGTGGAATCTGCAAGTGGATATTTGGATAGCTTGGAGGATTTCGTTGGAAACGGGATTACGTATAAAAAGTAGACAGCAGCATCCTCAAAAACTTCTTTGTGATGTGTGCATTCAAGTCACAGAGTTGAACATTCCCTTTCGTACAGCAGTTTTGAAACACTCTTTCTGTAGTAACTGGAAGTGAACATTAGGACAGCTTTCAGGTCTATGGTGAGAAAGGAAATATCTTCAAATAAAAACTAGACAGAAGCATTCTCATAATCTTGTTTGTGATGTGTGAACTCAGCTAACACACGTGGATCTTTCTTTTGATACAGCAGTTTTGAAAAACACTTTTTGTTGAATCTGCAAGTGGACATTTGGATAGATATGAAGATTTCGTTGGAAACGGGAATATCTTCATATCAAATCTAGACAGAAAGCATTCTCAGAAACGTCTTTGTGATGTTTGCATTCAACCCATAGAGTTGAACATTCCGTTTCAGAGAGCAGCTTTGAGGCACTCTTTTTGTAGTATGTGCAAGTGGATATTTGGTGCGCTGTGAGGCCTACGGTGAAAAAGCAAATATCTTCCCAAAACCACTAGACAGAAACATTCTCAGAAACTCCGTTATCACGTATGCACTCACCTAACAGAGAAGAACCTTCCTTTTGACTGAGCAGTTTTGATACACTCTTTTTGCAGAATCTGCAAGTGGATATTTGGATAGCTGTGAAGATTTCGTTGGAAACGGGAATATCTTCCTATAAAATCTAGACAGAAGCATTCTCAGAAACTGCTCTGTGATGTCTGCATTCAAGTCACAGAGTTGAACATTGCCTTTCATAGAGCAGGTTTGAAACGCTCTTTTTGTACTATATGGAAGTGGATGTTTCGGACGGTTGGAGGCCCATGGTGATAAAGGGAATATCTTCCCCTACAAGCTAGAAAGAAGCATTCTGTGAAACTTGTTTGTGATGTGTGTACTCAACTAACAGAGTTGAACCTTTCTTTTTACAGAGCAGTTTTGAAACACTCTTTTTGTAGAATCTGCGAGGGGATATTTGGATAGATTTCAGGATTTCGTTGGAAACTTGAATATCTTCATATAAAATCTCGACAGAAGCATTCTCAGAAACTTCTTTGTGATATGTGCATTAAAGTCACAGAGTTGAATATTCCCTTTCACAGAGTAGGTTTGAAACACTCTTTTTGTAGTATCTGGAAGTGGACATTTGGAGCGCCTTGACGCCTACGGTGAAAAGGGAAATATCTTCCCATAAAAACTAGACAGAAGCAATCTCAGAATCTTCTTTGGGATATATGCACGCAGCTAACAGAGTTGAACCTTTCTATTGACAGAGCAGTTTTGAAACAGTCTTTCTGTGGAATCTGCAAGTGGATATTTGGATAGCTTCGAGGATTTCGTTGGAAACGGGATTACGCATAAAAAGTAGACAGCAGCATCCTCAGAAACTTATTTGTGAGGTGTGCATTCAAGTCACAGAGTTGAACATTCCCTTTCGTACAGCAGTTTTGAAACACTGTTTCTGTAGTATCTGGAAGTCAACATTAGGACAGCTTTCAGGTCTATGGTGAGAAAGGAAATATCTTCAAATAAAAACTAGACAGAAGCATTCTCATAAACTTGTTTGTGATGTCTGAACTCAGCTAACAGAGGTGGATCTTTCTTTTGATAGAGCAGTTCTGAAAAACACTTTTTGTTGAATCTGCAAGTGGACATTTGGATAGATTTGAAGATTTCGTTGGAAACGGGAAGATCTTCATATCAAATCTAGACAGAAGCGTTCTCAGATACGACTTTGTGATGTTTGCATTCAACTCATAGAGGTGAACACTCCCTTTAAGAGAGCAGCTTTGAAGAACTCTTTTTGTAGTATGTGGAAGTGGACATTTGGAGCGCTATGAGGCCTATGGTGAAAAAGCAAATATCTTCCCATAAACACTAGACAGAAACATTCTCAGAAACTCCTTTATGACGTATGCACTCACCTAACAGAAAAGAACCTTCCTTTTGACAGAGCAGTTTTGATACACTCTTTTTGTAGAATCTGCAAGTGGATATTTGGATAGCTGTGAAGATTTCGTTGGAAACGTGAATATCTTCCTATAAAATCTAGACAGAAGCATTCTCAGAAACTGCTCTGTGATGTCTGCATTCACGTCACAGAGTTGAACATTGCCTTTCATAGAGCAGGTTTGAAACACTCTTTTTGTAGTATATGGAAGTGGACGTTTCGGACGGTTTGAGGCCCATGGTGATAAAGGGAATATCTTCCCCTACAAGCTAGAAAGAAGCATTCTGTGAAACTTGTTTGTGATGTGTGTACTCAACTAACAGAGTTGAACCTTTCTATTTACAGAGCAGTTTTGAAACACTCTTTTTGTAGAATCTGCGAGGGGATATTTGGATAGATTTCAGGATTTCGTTGGAAACGGGAATATCTTCATATAAAATCTCGACAGAAGCATTCTCAGAAACTTCATTGTGATATGTGCATTCAAGTCACAGAGTTGAATATTCCCTTTTACAGAGTAGGTTTGAAACACTCTTTTTGTAGTATCTGGAAGTGGACATTTGGAGCGCTTTGACGCCTACGGTGAAAAGGGAAATATCTTCTCATAAAAACTAGACAGAAGCAATCTCAGAATCTTCTTTGGGATATATGCACGCAGCTAACAGAGTTGAACCTTTCTATTGACAGAGCAGTTTTGAAACAGTCTTTCTGTGGAATCTGCAAGTGGATATTTGGATAGATTGGAGGATTTCTTTGGAAACGGGATTACGTATAAAAAGTAGACAGCAGCATCCTCAGAAACTTCTTTGTGATGTGTGCATTCAAGTCACAGAGTTGAACATTCCCTTTCGTACAGCAGTTTTGAAACACTCTTTCTGTAGTATCTGGAAGTGAACGTTAGGACAGCTTTCAGGTCTATGGTGAGAAAGGAAATATCTTCAAATAAAAACTAGACAGAAGCATTCTCATAAACTTGTTTGTGATGTGTGAACTCAGCTAACAGACGTGGATCTTTCTTTTGATACAGCAGTTTTGAAAAACACTTTTTGTTGAATCTGCAAGTGGACATTTGGATATATTTGAAGATTTCGTTGGAAACGGGAATATCTTCATATCAAATCTAGACAGAAGCATTCTCAGAAACGTCTTTGTCATGTTTGCATTCAACTCATAGAGTTGAACATTCCCTTTCAGAGAGCAGCTTTGAAACACTCTTTTTGTCGTATGTGCAAGTGGATATTTGGAGCGCTCTGAGGCCTACGGTGAAAAAACAAATATCTTCCCATAACCACTAGACAGAAACATTCTCAGAAACTCCTTTATGACGTATGCACTCACCTAACAGAGAAGAACCTTCCTTTTGACAGAGCAGTTTTGATACACTCTTTTTGTAGAATCTGCAAGTGGATATTTGGATAGCTGTGAAGATTTCGTTGGAAACGGGAATATCTTCCTATAAAATGTAGACAGAAGCATTCTCAGAAACTGCTCTGTGATGTCTGCATTCAAGTCACAGAGTTGAACATTGCCTTTCATAGAGCAGGTTTGAAACGCTCTTTTTGTAGCATATGGAAGTGGACGTTTCGGACGGTTTGAGGCCCATGGTGATAAAGGGAATATCTTCCCCTACAAGCTAGAAAGAAGCATTCTGTGAAACTTGTTTGTGATGTGTGTACTCAACTAACAGAGTTGAACCTTTCTTTTTACAGAGCAGTTTTGAAACACTCTTTTTGTAGAATCTGCGAGGGGATATTTGGATAGATTTCAGGATTTCGTTGGAAACGGGCATATCTTCATATAAAATCTCGACAGAAGCATTCTCAGAAACTTCTTTGTGATATGTGCATTCAAGTCACAGAGTTGAATATTCCCTTTGACAGAGTAGGTTTGAAACACTCTTTTTGTAGTATCTGGAAGTGGACATTTGGAGCGCCTTGACACCTACGGTGAAAAGGGAAATATCTTCCCATAAAAACTAGACAGAAGCAATCTCAGAAACTTCTTTGGGATATATGCACGCAGCTAACAGAGTTGAACCTTTCTATTGACAGAGCAGTTTTGAAACAGTCTTTCTGTGGAATCTGCAAGTGGATATTTGGATAGCTTGGAGGATTTCGTTGGAAACGGGATTACGTATAAAAAGTAGACAGCAGCATCCTCAGAAACTTCTTTGTGATGTGTGCATTCAAGTCACAGAGTTGAATATTCCCTTTCACAGAGTAGGTTTGAAACACTCTTTTTGTAGTATCTGGAAGTGGACATTTGGAGCGCCTTGACGCCTACGGTGAAAAGGGAAATATCTTCCCATAAAAACTAGACAGAAGCATTCTCATAAACTTGTTTGTGATGTGTGAACTCAGCTAACAGAGGTGGATCTTTCTTTTGATAGAGCAGTTCTGAAAAACACTTTTTCTTGAATCTGCAAGTGGACATTTGGATAGATTTGAAGATTTCGTTGGAAACGGGAATATCTTCATATCAAATCTAGACAGAAGCATTCTCGGAAACGTCTTTGTCATGTTTGCATTCAACTCATGGAGTTGAACATTCCGTTTCAGAGAGCAGCTTTGAAGCACTCTTTTTGTAGTATGTGCAAGGGGATATTTGGAGCGCTCTGAGGCCTAAGGTGAAAAAGCAAATATCTTCCCATAACCACTAAACAGAAACAATCTCAGAAACTTCTTTATGACGTATGTACTCAACTAGCAGAGAAGAACTTTCCTTTTGACAGAGCATTTTTGATACACTCTTTTTGTAGTATCTGTAAGTGGATATTTGGATAGCTGTGAAGATTTCGTTGGAAACGGGAATATCTTCCTATAAAGTCTGGACAGAAGCATTCTCAGAAACTGCTCTGTGATGTCTGCATTCAACTCACAGAGTTGAACATTGCCTTTCATGGAGCAGGTTTGAAATGCTCTTTTTGTAGTATATGGAAGTGGACGTTTCAGACGGTTTGAGGCCCATGGTGATAAAGGGAATATCTTCCCCTACAAGCTAGAAAGAAGCATTCTGTGAAACTTGTTTGTGATGTGTGTACTGAACTAACAGAGTTGAACCTTTCTTTTTACAGAGCAGTTTTGAAACACTCTTTTTGTAGAATCTGCGAGGGGATATTTGGATAGATTTCAGGATTTCGTTGGAAACGGGAATATCTTCACATAAAATCTCGACAGAGGCATTCTCAGAAGCTTCTTTGTGATATGTGCATTCAAGTCACAGAGTTGAATATTCCCTTTCACAGAGTAGGTTTGAAACACTCTTTTTCTAGTATCTGGAAGTGGACATTTGGAGCGCCTTGACACCTACGGTGAAAAGGGAAATATCTTCTCATAAAAAGTAGACAGAAGCAATCTCAGAATCTTCTTTGGGATATATGCACGCAGCTAACAGAGTTGAACCTTTCTATTGACAGAGCAGTTTTGAAAGAGTCTTTCTGTGGAATCTGCAAGTGGATATTTGGATAGCTTGGAGGATTTCGTTGGAAACGGGATTACGTATAATAAGTAGACAGCAGCATCCTCCGAAACTTCTTTGTGATGTGTGCATTCAAGTCACAGAGTTGAACATTCCCTTTCGTACAGCAGTTTTGAAACACTCTTTCTGTAGTATCTGGAAGTGAACATTAGGACAGCTTTCAGCTCTATGGTGAGAAAGGAAATATCTTCAAATAAAAACTAGAGAGAAGCATTCTCATAAACTTGTTTGTGATGTCTGAACTCAGCTAACAGACGTGGATCTTTCTTTTGATAGAGCAGTTCTGAAAAACACGTTTTGTTGAATCTGCAAGTGGACATTTGGATAGATTTGAAGATTTCGTTGGAAACGGGAATATCTTCATATCAAATCTAGACAGAAGCATTCTCAGAAACGTCTTTGTGATGTTTGCATTCAACTCATAGAGTTGAACATTCCGTTTCAGAGAGCAGCTTTGAAGCACTCTTTTTGTAGCATGTGCAAGTGGATATTTGGAGCGCTCTGAGGCCTACGGTGAAAAAGCAAATATCTTCCCATAACCACTAGACAGAAACATTCTCAGAAACTCCTTTATGACGTGTGCACTCACCTAACAGAGAAGAACCTTCCTTTTTACAGAGCAGTTTTGATACACTCTTTTTGTAGAATCTGCAAGTGGATATTGGGATAGCTGTGAAGATTTCGTTGGAAACGGTAATATCTTCCTATAAAATCTAGACAGAAGCATTCTCAGAAACTGCTCTGTGATGTCTGCATTCAAGTCACAGAGTTGAACATTGCCTTTCATAGAGCAGGTTTGAAACGCTCTTTTTGTAGTATATGGAAGTGGATGTTTCGGACGGTTGGAGGCCCATGGTGATAAAGGGAATATCTTCCCCTCCAAGCTAGAAAGAAGCATTGTGTGAAACTTGTTTGTGATGTGTGTACTCAACTAACAGAGTTGAACCTTTCTTTTTACAGAGCAGTTTTGAAACACTCTTTTTGTAGAATCTGCGAGGGGATATTTGGATAGATTTCAGGATTTCGTTGGAAACGGGAATATCTTCATATAAAATCTCGACAGAAGCATTCTCAGAAACTTCTTTGTGATATGTGCATTCAAGTCACAGAGTTGAATATTCCCTTTCACAGAGTAGGTTTGAAACACTCTTTTTGTAGTATCTGGAAGTGGACATTTGGAGCGCCATGACACCTACAGTGAAAAGGGAAATATCTTCCCATAAAAACTAGACAGAAGTAATCTCAGAATCTTCTTTGGGATATATGCACGCAGCTAACAGAGTTGAACCTTTCTATTGACAGAGCAGTTTTGAAACAGTCTTTCTGTGGAATCTGCAAGTGGATATTTGGATAGCTTGGAGGATTTCGTTGGAAACGGGATTACGTATAAAAAGTAGACAGCAGCATCCTCAGAAACTTCTTTGTGATGTGTGCATTCAAGTCACAGAGTTGAACATTCCCTTTCGTACAGCAGTTTTGAAACACTCTTTCTGTAGTATCTGGAAGTGAACATTAGGACAGCTTTCAGGTCTATGGTGAGAAAGGAAATATCTTCAAATAAAAACTAGACACAAGAATTCTGATAAACTTGTTTGTGAAGTGTGAACTCCGCTAACAGAGTTTGATCTTTCTTTTGATACAGCAGTTTTGAAAAACACTTTGTTGAATCTGCAAGTGGACATTTGGATAAATTTGAAGATTTCGTTGGAAACGGGAATATCTTCATATCAAATGTAGACAGAAACATTCTCAGAAACGTCTTTGTGATGTTTGCATTCAACTCATAGAGTTGAACATTCACTTTCAGAGAGCAGCTTTAAAGCACTCTTTTTGTAGTATGTGCAAGTGGATATTTGGAGCGCTCTGAGGCCTACGGGGAAAAAGCAAATATCTTCCCATAACCACTAGACAGAAACATTCTCAGAAACTCCTTTATGACGTATGTACTCAACTAACAGAGAAGAACCTTCCTTTTGACAGAGCAGTTTTGATACACTCTTTTTGTAGAATCTGCAAGTGGATATTTGGATAGCTGTGAAGATTTCGTTGGAAATGGGAATATCTTCCTATAAAATCTAGACAGAAGCATTCTCAGAAACTGCTCTGTGATGTCTGCATTCAAGTCACAGAGTTGAACATTGCCTTTCATAGAGCAGGTTTGAAACGCTCTTTTTGTAGTATATGGAAGTAGACGTTTCGGACGGTTTGAGGCCCATGGTGATAAAGGGAATATCTGCCCCTACAAGCTAGAAAGAAGCATTCTGTGAAACTTGTTTGTGATGTGTGTACTCAACTAACAGAGTTGAACCTTTCTTTTTACAGAGCAGTTTTGAAACACTCTTTTTGTAGAATCTGCGAGGGGATATTTGGATAGATTTCAGGATTTCGTTGGAAACGCGAATATCTTCATCGAAAATCTCGACAGAAGCATTCTCAGAAACTTCCTTGTGATATGTGCATTCAAGTCACAGAGTTGAATATTCCCTTTCACAGAGTAGGTTTGAAACACTCTTTTTGTAGTATCTGGAAGTGGACATTTGGAGCGCCTTGACGCCTACGGTGAAAAGGAAAATATCTTCCCATAAAAACTAGACAGAAGCAATCTCAGAATCTTCTTTGGGATATATGCACACAGCTAACAGAGTTGAACCTTTCTATTGACAGAGCAGTTTTGAAACAGTCTTTCTGTGGAATCTGCAAGTGGATATTTGGATAGATTGGAGGATTTCGTTGGAAACGGGATTACGTATAAAAAGTAGACAGCAGCATCCTCAGAAACTTCCTTGTGATTTGTGCATTCCAGTCACAGAGTTGAACTTTCCCTTTCGTACAGTAGTTTTGAAACACTCTTTCTGTAGTATCTGGAAGTGAACATTAGGAGAGCTTTCAGGTCTATAGTGAGAAAGGATATATCTTCAAATAAAAATTAGACAGAAGAATACTGATAAACTTGTTTGTGAAGTGTGAACTCAGCTAACACAGGTGGATCTTTCTTTTGATACAGCAGTTTTGAAAAACACTTTGTTGAATCTGCAAGTGGACATTTGTATAGATTTGAAGATTTCGTTGGAAACGGGAATATCTTCATATCAAATCTAGACAGAAGCAGTCTCAGAAACGTCTTTGTGATGTTTGCATTCAACTCATAGAGTTGAACATTCCCTTCCAGAGAGTAGCTTTGAAGCACTCTTTTTGTAGCATGTGCAAGTGGACATTTGGAGCGCCCTGAGGCCTACGGGGAAAAAGCAAATATCTTCCCATAACCACTAGACAGAAACATTCTCAGAAACTCCTTTATGATGTATGCACTCAACTAACAGAAAAGAACCTTCCTTTTGACAGAGCAGTTTTGATACACTCTTTTTGTAGAATCTGCAAGTGGATATTTGGGTAGCTGTGAAGATTTCGTTGGAAACGGGAATATCTTCCTATAAAATCTAGACAGAAGCATTCTCAGAAACCGCTCTGTGATGTCTGCATTCAAGTCACAGAGTTGAACATTGCCTTTCATAGAGCAGGTTTGAAACGCTCTTTTTGTAGTATATGGAAGTGGACGTTTCGGACGGTTTGAGGCCCATGGTGATAAAGGGAATATCTTCCCCTACAAGCTAGAAAGAAGCATTCTGTGAAACTTGTTTGTGATGTGTGTACTCAACTAACAGAGTTGAACCTTTCTTTTTACAGAGCAGTTTTGAAACACTCTTTCTGTAGAATCTGCGAGGGGATATTTGGATACATTTCAGGATTTCGTTGGAAACGGGAATATCTTCATATAAAATCTCGACAGAAGCATTCTCAGAAACTTCATTGTGATATCTGCATTCAAGTCACAGAGCGGAATATTCCCTTTCACAGAGTAGGTTTCAAACACTCTTTTTGTAGTATCTGGAAGTGGACATTTGGAGCGCATTGACACCTACGGTGAAAAGGGAAATATCTTCCCGTAAAAACTAGACAGAAGCAATCTCAGAATCTTCTTTGGGATATATGCACGCAGCTAACAGAGTTGAACCTTTCTATTGACTGAGCAGATTTGAAACAGTCTTTCTGTGGAATCTGCAAGTGGATATTTGGATAGATTGGAGGATTTCGTTGGAAACGGGATTACGTATCAAAAGTAGACAGCAGCATCCTCAGAAACTTCTTTGTGATGTGTGCATTCAAGTCACAGAGTTGAACATTCCCTTTCCTACAGCAGTTTTGAAACACTCTTTCTGTAGTATCTGGAAGTGAACATTAGGACAGCTTTCAGCTCTATGGTGAGAAAGGAAATATCTTCAAATAAAAACTAGACAGAAGCATTCTCAGAAACTTGTTTGTGATGTGTGAACTCAGCTAACAGAGGTGGATCTTTCTTTTGATAGAGCAGTTCTGAAAAACACTTTTTGTTGAATCTGCAAGTGGGCATTTGGATAGATTTGAAGATTTCGTTGGAAACGGGAATATCTTCATATCAAATCTAGACAGAAGCATTCTCAGAAACGTCTTTGTGATGTTTGCATTCAACTTATAGAGTTGAACATTCCGTTTCAGAGAGCAGGTTTGAAGCACTCTTTTTGTAGTATGTGCAAGTGGATATTTGGAGCGATCTGAGGCCTACGGTGAAAAAGCAAATATCTTCCCATAACCACTAGACAGAAACATTCTCAGAAACTTCTTTATGATGTATGTACTCAAGTAGCAGAGAAGAACTTTCCTTTTGACAGAGCACTTTGGATACACACTTTTTGTAGTATCTGCAAGTGGATATGTGGATAGCTGTGAAGATTTCGTTGGAAACGGGAATATCTTCCTATAAAGTCTGGACAGAAGCATTCTCAGAAACTGCTCTGTGATGTCTGGATTCAAGTCACAGAGTTGAACATTGCCTTTCATAGAGCAGGTTTCAAACACTCTTTTTTTAGTATATGGAAGTGGACGATTCGGACGGTTTGAGGACCATGGTGATAAAGGAAATATCTTCCCCTACAAGCTAGAAAGAAGCATTCTGTGAAACTTGTTTGTGATGTGTGTACTCAAGTAACAGAGTTGAACCTTTCTTTTTACAGAGCAGTTTTGAAACACTCTTTTTGTAGAATCTGCGAGGGGATATTTGGATACATTTCAGGATTTCGTTGGAAACGGGAATATCTTCATATAAAATCTCGACAGAAGCATTCTCAGAAACTTCTTTGTGATATGTGCATTCAAGTCACAGAGTTGAATATTCCCTTTCACAGAGTAGGTTTGAAACACTCTTTTTGTAGTATCTGGAAGTGGACATTTGGAGCGCCTTGACACCTACGGTGAAAAGGGAAATAACTTCTCATAAAAAGTAGACAGAAGCAATCTCAGAATCTTCTTTGGGATATATGCACGCAGCTAACAGAGTTGAGCCTTTCTATTGACAGAGCAGTTTTGAAACAGTCTTTCTGTGGAATCTGCAAGTGGATATTTAGATAGCTTGGAGGATTTCATTGGAAACGGGATTACGTATAAAAAGTAGACAGCAGCATCCTCAGAAACTTCTTTGTGATGTGTGCATTCAAGTCACAGAGTTGAACATTCCCTTTCATACAGCAGTTTTGAAACACTGTTTCTGTAGTATCTGGAAGTGAACATTAGGACAGCTTTCAGGTCTATGGTGAGAAAGGAAATATCTTCAAATAAAAACTAGACAGAAGCATTCTCATAAACTTGTTCGTGATGCGTGAACTCAGCTAACACACGTGGATCTTTCTTTTGATAGAGCAGTTCTGAAAAACACTTTTTGTTGAATATGCAAGAGGACATTTGGATAGATTTGAAGATTTCGTTGGAAACGGGAATATCTTCATATCAAATCTAGACAGAAGCATTCTCAGAAACGTCTTTGTGATGTTAGCATTCAACTCATAGAGTTGAACATTCCCTTTCAGAGAGCAGCTTTGAAGCACTCTTTTTGTAGTATGTGCAAGTGGATATATGGAGCCCTCTGAGGCCTATGGTGAAAAAGCAAATATCTTCCCATAACCACTAGACAGAAACATTCTCAGAAACTCCTTTATGACGTATGCACTCACCTAACAGAGAAGAACCTTCCTTTTGACAGAGCAGTTTTGATACACTCTTTTTGTAGAATCTGCAAGTGGATATTTGGATAGCTGTGAAGATTTCGTTGGAAACGGGAAATTCTTCCTATAAAATCTAGACAGAAGCATTCTCAGAAACTGCTCTGTGATGTCTGCATTCAAGTCACAGAGTTGAACATTGCCTTTCCTAGAGCAGGTTTGAAACGCTCTTTTTGTACTATATGGAAGTGGACGTTTCGGACGGTTTGAGGCCCATGGTGATAAAGGGAATATCTTCCCCTACAAGCTAGAAAGAAGCATTCTGTGAAACTTGTTTGTGATGTGTGTACTGAAGTAACAGAGTTGAACCTTTCTTTTTACAGAGCAGTTTTGAAACACTCTTTTTGTAGAATCTGCGAGGGGATATTTGGATAGATTTCAGGATTTCGTTGGAAACGGGAATATCTTCATATAAAATCTCGACAGAAGCATTCTCAGAAACTTCTTTGTGATATGTGCATTCAAGTCACAGAGTTGAATATTCCCTTTCACAGAGTAGGTTTGAAACACTCTTTTTGTAGTATCTGGAAGTGGACATTTGTAGCGCCTTGACGCCTACGGTGAAAAGGGAAATATCTCCCCATAAAAACTAGACAGAAGCAATCTCAGAATCTTCTTTGGGATATATGCACGCAGCTAACAGAGTTGAACCTTTCTATTGACAGAGCAGTTTTGAAACAGTCTTTCTGTGGAATCTGGAAGTGGATATTTGGATAGCTTGGAGGATTTCGTTGGAAACGGGATTATGTATAAAAAGTAGACAGCAGCATCCTCAGAAACTTCTTTGTGATGTGTGCATTCAAGTCACAGAGTTGAACATTCCCTTTCGTACAGCAGTTTTGAAACACTCTTTCTGTAGTATCTGGAAGTGAACATTAGGACAGCTTTCGGGTCTATGGTGAGAAAGGCAATATCTTCAAATAAAAACTAGACAGAAGCATTCTCATAAACTTGTTTGTGATGTGTGAACTCAGCTAACAGAGGTGGATCTTTCTTTTGATAGAGCAGTTCTGAAAAACACTTTTTGTTGAATCTGCAAGTGGACATTTGGATAGATTTGAAGATTTCGTTGGAAACGGGAATATCTTCATATAAAATCTAGACAGAAGCATTCTCAGAAACGTCTTTGTCCTGTTTGCATTCAACTCATAGAGTTGAACATTCCCTTTCAGAGAGCAGCTTTGAAACACTCTTTTTGTAGTATGTGCAAGTGGATATTTGGAGCGCTCTGAGGCCTACGGTGAAAAAGAAAATATCTTCCCATAACCACTAGACAGAAACATTCTCAGAAACTCCTTTATGACGTATGTACTCAACTAACAGAGAAGAACCTTCCTTTAGACAGAGCAGTTTTGATACACTCTTTTTGTAGAATCTGCAAGTGGATATTTGGATAGCTGTGAAGATTTCGTTGGATACGGGAATATCTTCCTATAAAATCTAGACAGAAGCATTCTCAGAAACTGCTCTGTGATGTCTGCATTCAAGTCACAGAGTTGAACATTGCCTTTCATAGAGCAGGTTTGAAACGCTCTTTTTGTAGTATATGGAAGTGGACTTTTCGGAAGGTTTGAGGCCCATGGTGATAAAGGGAATATCTTCCCCTACAAGCTAGAAAGAAGCATTCTGTGAAACTTGTTTGTGATGTGTGTACTCAACTAACAGAGTTGAACCTTTCTTTTTACAGAGCAGTTTTGAAACACTCTTTTTGTAGAATCTGCGAGGGGATATTTTGATAGATTTCAGGGTTTCGTTGGAAACGGGAATATCTTCATATAAAATCTCGACAGAAGCATTCTCAGAAACTTCTTTGTGATATCTGCATTCCAGGCACAGAGTTGAATATTCCCTTTCACAGAGTAGGTTTGAAACACTCTTTTTGCAGTATCTGGAAGTGGACATTTGGAGCGCCTTGACGCCTACGGTGAAAAGGGAAATATCTTCCCATCAAAACTAGACAGAAGCAATCTCAGAATCTTCTTTGGGATATATGCGCGCAGCTAGCAGAGTTGATCCTTTCTATTGGCAGAGTAGTTTTGAAACAGTCTTTCTGTGGAATCTGCAAGTGGATATTTGGATAGCTTGGAGGATTTCGTTGGAAACGGGATTACGTATAAAAATTAGACAGCAGCATCCTCAGAAACTTCTTTGTGATGTGTGCATTCAAGTCACAGAGTTGAACATTCCCTTTCGTACAGCAGTTTTGAAACACTCTTTCTGTAGTATCTGGAAGTGAACATTAGGACAGCTTTCAGGTCTATGGTGAGAAAGGTAATATCTTCAAATAAAAACTAGACAGAAGCATTCTCATAAACTTGTTTGTGATGTGTGAACTCAGCTAACAGATGTGGATCTTTCTTTTGATAGAGCAGTTCGGAAAAACACTTTTTGTTGAATCTGCAAGTGGACATTTGGATAGATTTGAAGATTTCGTTGGAAACGGGAATATCTTCATATCAAATCTAGACAGAAGCATTCCCAGATACGTCTTTGTGATGTTTGCATTCAACTCATAGATTTGAACATTCCGTTTCAGGGAGCAGCTTTGAAACACTCTTTTTGTAGTATGTGCAAAAGGATATTTGGAGCACTCTGAGGCGTAAGGTGAAAAAGCAAATATCTTCCCATAACCACTAGACAGAAACATTCTCAGAAACTCCTTTATGACGTATGCACTCACCTAACAGAGAAGAACCTTCCTTTTGACAGAGCAGTTTTGATACACTGTTTTTGTAGAATCTGCAAGTGGATATTTGGATAGCTGTGAAGATTTCGTTGGAAACGGGAATATCTTCCTATAAAATCTAGACAGAAGCATTCTCAGAAACTGCTCTGTGATGGCTGCATTCAAGTCACAGAGTTGAACATTGCCTTTCATAGAGCAGGTTTGAAATGCTCTTTTTGTAGTATATGGAAGTGGACTTTTCGGACGGTTTGAGGCCCATGGTGATAAAGGGAATATCTTCCCCTACAAGCTAGAAAGAAGCATTCTGTGAAACTTGTTTGTGATGTGTTTACTCAACTAACAGAGTTGAACCTTTCTTTTTACAGAGCAGTTTTGAAACACTCTTTTTGTAGAATCTGCGAGGGGATATTTGGATAGATTTCAGGATTTCGTTGGAAAGGGGAATATCTTCATATAAAATCTCGACAGAAGCATTCTCAGAAACTTCTTTGTGATATGTGCATTCAAGTCACAGAGTTGAATATTCGCTTTCACAGAGTATGTTTGAAACACTCTTTTTGTAGTATCTGGAAGTGGACATTTGGAGCGCCTTGACGCCTACGGTGAAAAGGGAAATATCTTCCCATAAAAACTAGACAGAAGCAATCTCAGAATCTTCTTTGGGATATATGTACGCAGCTAATAGAGTTGAACCTTTCTATTGACAGAGCAGTTTTGAAACAGTCTTTCTGTGGAATCTGCAAGTGGATATTTGGATAGCTTGGGGGATTTCGTTGGAAACGGGATTACGTATAAAAAGTAGACAGCAGCATCCTCAGAAACATCCTTGTGATGTGTGCATTCAAGTCACAGAGTTGAACATTCCCTTTCGTACAGCAGTTTTGAAACACTCTTTCTGTAGTATCTGGAAGTGAACTTTAGGACAGATTTCAGGTCTATAGTGAGAAAGGATATATCTTCAAATAAAAACTAGACAGAAGCATTCTCATAAATTGTTTGTGATGTGTGAACTCAGCTAACAGAGGTGGATCTTTCTTTTGATAGAGCAGTTCTGAAAAACACTTTTTGTTGAATCTGCAAGTGGACATTTGGATAGATTTGAAGATTTCGTTGGAAACGGGAATATCTTCATATCAAATCTAGACAGAAGCATTCTCAGAAACGTCTTTGTGATGTTTGCATTCAACTCATAGAGTTGAACATTCCGTTTCAGAGACCAGATTTGAAGCACTCTTTTTGTAGTATGTGCAAGTGGATATTTGGAGCGCTCTGAGGCCTACGGTGAAAAAGCAAATATCTTCCCATAACCACTAGACAGAAACATTCTCAGAAACTCCTTTATGACGTATGCATTCACCTAACAGAGAAGAACCTTCCTTTTGACAGAGCAGTTTTGATACACTCTTTTTGTAGAATCTGCAAGTGGATATTTGGATAGCTGTGAAGATTTCGTTGGAAACGGGAATATCTTCCTATAAAATCTAGAGAGAAGCATTCTCAGAAACTGCTCTGTGATGTCTGCATTCAAGTCACAGAGTTGAACATTGCCTTTCATAGAGCAGGTTTGAAACGCTCTTTTTGTAGTATATGGAAGTGGATGTTTCGGACGGTTGGAGGCCCATGGTAATAAAGGGAATATCTTCCCCTACAAGCTAGAAAGAAGCATTCTGTGAAACTTGTTTGTGATGTGTGTACTCAACTAACAGAGTTGAACCTCTCTTTTTACAGAGCAGTTTTGAAACACTCTTTTTGTAGAATCTGCGAGGGGATATTTGATACATTTCAGCATTTCGTTGGAAACGGGAATATCTTCATATAAAATCTCGACAGAAGCATTCTCAGAAACTTCTTTGTAATATGTGCATTCAAGTCACAGAGTTGAATATTCCCTTTCACAGAGTAGGTTTGAAACACTCTTTTTGTAGTATCTGGAAGTGGACATTTGGAGCGCCTTGACACCTACGGTGAAAAGGGAAATATCTTCCCATAAAAACTAGACAGAAGCAATCTCAGAATCTTCTTTGGGATATATGCATGCAGCTAACAGAGTTGAACCTTTCTATTGACAGAGCAGTTTTGAAACAGTCTTTCTGTGGAATCTGCAAGTGGATATTTGGATAGCTTGGAGGATTTCCGTTGGAAACGGGATTACGTATAAAAAGTAGACAGCAGCATCCTCAGAAACTACTTTGTGATGTGTGCATTCAAGTCACAGAGTTGAACATTCCCTTTCGTACAGCAGTTTTGAAACACTCTTTCTGTAGTATCTGGAAGTGAACATTAGGACAGCTTTCAGGTCTATGGTGAGAAAGGCAATATCTTCAAATAAAAACTAGACAGAAGCATTCTCATAAACTTGTTTGCGAAGTGTGAACTCAGGTAACAGAGGTGGATCTTTCTTTTGATACAGCAGTTTTGAGAAACACTTTGTTGAATCTGCAAGTGGACATTTGGATAGATTTGAAGATTTCGTTGGAAACGGGAATATCTTCATATCAAATCTAGACAGAAGCATTCCCAGAAACGTCTTTGTGATGTTTGCATTCAACTCATAGATTTGAACATTCCGTTTCAGAGAGCAGCTTTGAAGCACTCTTTTTGTAGTATGTGCAAGGGGATATTTGGAGCGCTCTGAGGCCTACGGTGAAAAAGCAAATATCTTCCCATAACCACTAGACAGAAACATTCTCAGAAACTCCTTTATGACGGTATGCACTCACCTAACAGAGAAGAACCTTCCTTTTGACAGAGCAGTTTTGATACACTCTTTTTGTAGAATCTGCAAGTGGATATTGGGATAGCTGTGAAGATATCGTTGGAAACGGGAATATCTTCCTATAAAATCTAGACAGAAGCATTCTCAGAAACTGCTCTGTGATGTCTGTATTCAAGTCACAGAGTTGAACATTGCCTTTCATAGAGCAGGTTTGAAATGCTCTTTTTGTAGTATATGGAAGTGGACGTTTCAGACGGTTTGAGGCCCATGGTGATAAAGGGAATATCTTCCCCTACAAGCTAGAAAGAAGCATTCTGTGAAACTTCTTTGTGATGTGTGTACTCAACTAACAGAGTTGAACCTTTCTTTTTACAGAGCAGTTTTGAAACACTCTTTTTGTAGAATCTGCGAGGGGATATTTGGATAGATTTCAGGATTTCGTTGGAAAGGGGAATATCTTCATATAAAATCTCGACAGAAGCATTCTCAGCAAACTTCTTTGTGATATCTGCATTCAAGTCACAGGAGTTGAATATTCCCTTTCACAGAGTAGGTTTGAAACACTCTTTTTGTAGTATCTGGAAGTGGACATTTGGAGCGCCTTGACGCCTACAGTGAAAAGGGAAATATCTTCCCATAAAAACTAGACAGAAGCAATCTCAGAATCTTCTTTGGGATATATGCACGCAGCTAACGGAGTTGAACCTTTCTATTGACAGAGCAGTTTTGAAACAGTCTTTCTGTGGAATCTGCAAGTGGATATTTGGATAGCTTGGAGGATTTTGTTGGAAACGGGATTACGTATAAAAAGTAGACAGCAGCATCCTCAGAAACTTCTTTGTGATGTGTGCATTCAAGTCACAGAGTTGAACATTCCCTTTCGTAGAGCAGTTTTGAAACACTCTTTCTGTAGTATCTGGAAGTGAACATTAGGACAGCTTTCAGGTCTATGGTGAGAAAGGAAATATCTTCAAATAAAAACTAGACAGAAGCATTCTCATAAACTTGTTTTTGATGTGTGAACTCAGCTAACAGAGGTGGATATTTCTTTTGATAGAGCAGTTCTGAAAAACACTTTTTGTTGAATCTGCAAGTGGACATTTGGATAGATTTGAAGATTTCGTTGGAAACGGGAATATCTTCCTATCAAATCTAGACAGAAGCATTCTCAGAAACGTCTTTGTGATGTTTGAATTCAACTCATAGAGTTGAACATTCCGTTTCAGAGAGCAGCTTTGAGGCACTCTTTTTGTAGTATGTGCAAGTGGATATTTGGAGCGCTCTGAGGCCTACGGTGAAAAAGCAAATATCTTCCCATAACCACTAGACAGAAACATTCTCAGAAACTCCTTTATGACGTATGTACTCAACTAACAGAGAAGAACCTTCCTTTTGACAGAGCAGTTTTGATACACACTTTTTGTAGAATCTGCAAGTGGATATTTGGATAGCTGTGAAGATTTCGTTGGAAACGGGAATATCTTCCTATAAAACCTAGACAGAAGCATTCTCAGAAACTGCTCTGTGATGTCTGCATTCAAGTCACAGAGTTGAACATTGCCTTTCCTAGAGCAGGTTTGAAACGCTCTTTTTGTAGTATATGGAAGTGGACGTTTCGGACGGTTTGAGGCCCATGGTGATAAAGGGAATACCTTCCCCTACAAGCTAGAAAGAAGCATTCTGTGAAACTTGTTTGTGATGTGTGTACTCAACTAACAGAGTTGAACCGTTCTTTTTACAGAGCAGTTTTGAAACACTCTTTTTGTAGAATCTGCGAGGCGATATTTGGATAGATTTCAGGATTTCGTTGGAAACGGGAATATCTTCATATAAAATCTCGACAGAAGCATTCTCAGAATCTTCTTTGTGATATCTGCATTCAAGTCACAGAGTTGAATATTCCCTTTCACAGAGTAGGTTTGAAACACTCCTTTTGTAGTATCTGGAAGTGGACATTTGGAGCGCCTTGACACCTACGGTGAAAAGGGAAATATCTTCCCATAAAAACTAGACAGAAGCAATCTCAGAATCTTCTTTGGGATATATGTACGCAGCTAATAGAGTTGAACCTTTCTATTGACAGAGCAGTTTTGAAACAGTCTTTCTGTGGAATCTGCAGGTGGATATTTGGATAGCTTGGAGGATTTCGTTGGAAACGGGATTACGTATAAAAAGTAGACAGCAGCATCCTCAGAAACTTCTTTGTGATGTGTGCATTCAAGTCACAGAGTTGAACATTCCCTTTCGTACAGCAGTTTTGAAACACTCTTTCTGTAGTATCTGGAAGTGAATATTAGGACAGCTTTCAGCTCTATGGTGAGAAAGGAAATATCTTTAAATAAAAACTAGACAGAAGCATTCTCATAAACTTGTTTGTGATGTGTGAACTCAGCTAACAGAGGTGGATCTTTCCTTTTGATAGAGCAGTTCTGAAAAACACTTTTTGTTGAATCTGCAAGTGGACATTTGGATAGATTTGAAGATTTCGTTGGAAACGGGAATATCTTCATATCAAATCTAGACAGAAGCATTCTCAGAAACGTCTTTGTGATGTTTGCATTCAACTCAGAGTTGAACATTCCGTTTCAGAGAGCAGGTTTGAAGCACTCTTTTTGTAGTATGTGCAAGTGGATATTTGGAGGGCTCTGAGGCCTACGGTGAAAAAGCAAATATCTTCCCATAACCACTAGACAGAAACATTCTCAGAAATTCCTTTATGACGTATGCACTCACCTAAAAGAGAAGAACCTTCCTTTTGACAGAGCAGTTTTGATACACTCTTTTTGTAGAATCTGCAAGTGGATATTTGGATAGCTGTGAAGATTTCGTTGGAAACGGGAATATCTTCCTGTAAAATCTAGACAGAAGCATTCTCAGAAACTGCTCTGTGATGTCTGCATTCAAGTCACAGAGTTGAACATTGTCTTTCATAGAGCAGGTTTGAAGCGTTCTTTTTGTATTATATGGAAGTGGACGTTTCGGACGGTTTGAGGCCCATGGTGATAAAGGGAATATCTTCCCCTACAAGCTAGAAAGAAGCATTCTGTGAAACTTGTTTGTGATGTGTGTACTCAACTAACAGAGTTGAACCTTTCTTTTTACAGAGCACTTTTGAAACACTCTTTTTGTAGAATCTGCGAGGGGATATTTGGATAGATTTCAGGATTTCGTTGGAAACGTGAATATATTCATATAAAATCCCGACAGAAGCATTCTCAGAAACTTCTTTGTGATATGTGCATTCAAGTCACAGAGTTGAATATTCCCTTTCACAGAGTAGGTTTGAAACACTCTTTTTGTAGTATCTGGAAGTGGACATTTGGAGCGCCTTGACACCTACCGTGAAAAGGGAAATATCTTCTCATAAAAAGTAGACAGAAGCAATCTCAGAATCCTCTTTGAGATATATGGACGCAGCTAACAGAGTTGAACCTTTCTATTGACAGAGCAGTTTTGAAACAGTCTTTCTGTGGTATCTGCAAGTGGATATTTGGATAGCTTGGAGGATTTCTTTGGAAACGGGATTACGTATAAAAAGTAGACAGCAGCATCCTCAGAAACTTCTTTGTGATGTGTGCATTCAAGTCACAGAGTTGAACATTCCCTTTCGTACAGCAGTTTTGAAACACTCTTTCTGTAGTATCTGGAAGTGAACATTAGGACAGCTTTCAGCTCTATGGTGAGAAAGGAAATATCTACAAATAAAAACTAGACAGAAGCATTCTCATAAACTTTTTTGTGATGTGTGAACTCAGCTAACAGAGGTGGATCTTTCTTTTGATAGAGCAGTTCTGAAAAACACGTTTTGTTGAATCTGCAAGTGGACATTTGGATAGATTTGAAGATGTCATTGGAAACGGGAATATCTTCATATCAAATCTAGACAGAAGCATTCTCAGAAACGTCTTTGTCATGTTTGCATTCAACTCATAGAGTTGAACATTCCGTTTCAGAGAGCAGCTTTGAAGCACTCTTTTTGTAGTATGTGCAAGCGGATATTTGCAGCGCTCTGAGGCCTACGGTGAAAAAGCAAATATCTTCCCATAACCACTAGACAGAAACATTCTCAGAAACTCCTTTATGACGTATGTACTCAACTAACAGAGAAGAACCTTCCTTTTGACAGAGCAGTTTTGATACACTCTTTTTGTAGAATCTGCCAGTGGATATTTGGATAGCTGTGAAGATTTCGTTGGAAACGGGAATATCTTCCTATAAAATCTAGACAGAAGCATTCTCAGAAACTGCTATGTGATGTCTGCATTCAAGTCACAGAGTTGAACATTGCCTTTCCTAGAGCAGGTTTGAAACGCTCTTTTTGTAGTATATGGAAGTGGACGTTTCGGACGGTTTGAGGCCCATGGTGATAAAGGGAATATCTTCCCCTACAAGCTAGAAAGAAACATTCTGTGAAACTTGTTTGTGATGTGTGTACTCAACTAACAGAGTTGAACCTTTCTTTTTACAGAGCAGTTTTGAAACACTCTTTTTGTAGAATCTGCGAGGGGATATTTGGATAGATTTCAGGATTTCGTTGGAAACGGGAATATCTTCATATAAAATCTCGACAGAAGCATTCTCAGAAACTTCTTTGTGATATGTGCATTCAAGTCACAGAGTTGAATATTCCCTTTCACAGAGTAGGTTTGAAACACTCTTTTTGTAGTATTTGGAAGTGGACATTTGGAGCGCCTTGACGCCTACGGTGAAAAGGGAAATATCTTCCCATAAAAACTAGACAGAAGCAATCTCAGAATCTTCTTTGGGATATATGCACGCAGCTAACAGAGTTGAACCTTCCTATTGACAGAGCAGTTTTGACACAGTCTTTCTGTGGAATCTGCAAGTGGATATTTGGATAGCTTGGAGGATTTCGTTGGAAACGGGATTACGTATAAAAAGTAGACAGCAGCATCCTCAGAAACTTCTTTGTGATGTGTGCATTCAAGTCACAGAGTTGAACATTCCCTTTCGTACAGCAGTTTTGAAGCACTCTTTCTGTAGTATCTGGAAGTGAACATTAGGACAGCTTTCAGGTCTATGGTGAGAAAGGAAATATCTTCAAATAAAAACTAGACAGAAGCATTCTCATAAACTTGTTTGTGATGTGTGAACTCAGCTAACAGAGGTGGATCTTTCTTTTGATACAGCAGTTTTGAAAAACACTTTTCGTTGAATCTGCAAGTGGACATTTGGATAGATTTGAAGATTTCATTGGAAACGGGAATATCTTCATATCAAATCTAGACAGAAGCATTCTCAGAAACGTCTTTGTGATGTTTGCATTCAACTCATAGAGTTGAACATTCCGTTTCAGAGAGCAGCTTTGAAGCACTCTTTTTGTAGTATGTGCAAGTGGATATTTGGAGCGCTCTGAGGCCTACGGGGAAAAAGCAAATATCTTCCCATAACCACTACACAGAAACATTCTCAGAAACTCCTTTATGACGTATGCACTCATCTAACAGAGAAGAACCTTCCTTTTGACAGAGCAGTTTTGATACACTCTTTTTGTAGAATCTGCAAGTGGATATTTGGATAGCTGTGAAGATTTCGTTGGAAACGGGAATATCCTCCTATAATATCTAGACAGAAGCATTCTCAGAAACTACTCTGTGATGTCTGCATTCAAGTCACAGAGTTGAACATTGCCTTTCCTAGAGCAGGTTTGAAACGCTCTTTTTGTAGTATATGGAAGTGGACGTTTCGGACGCTTTGAGGCCCATGGTGATAAAGGGAATATCTTTCCCTACAAGCTAGAAAGAAGCATTCTGTGAAACTTGTTTGTGGTGTGTGTACTCATCTTACAGAGTTGAACCTTTCTTTTTACAGAGCAGTTTTGAAACACTCTTTTTGTAGAATCTGCGAGGGGTTATTTGGATAGATTTCAGGATTTCGTTGGAAACGGGAATATCTTCCTATAAAATCTCGACAGAAGCATTTTCAGAAACTTCTTTGTGATATCTGCATTCAAGTCACAGAGTTCAATATTCCCTTCCATAGAGAAGGTTTGAAACACTCTTTTTGTAGTATCTGGAAGTGGACATTTGGAGCGCCTTGACACCTACGGTGAAAAGGGAAATATCTTCCCATAAAAACTAGACAGAAGCAATCTCAGAATCTTCTTTGGGATATATGCATGCAGCTAACAGAGTTGAACCTTTCTATTGACAGAGCAGTTTTGAAACAGTCTTTCTGTGGAATCTGCAAGTGGATATTTGGATAGCTTGGAGGATTTCGTTGGAAATGGGATTACGTATAAAAAGTAGACAGCAGTATCCTCAGAAACTTCTTTGTGATGTGTGCATTCAAGTCACAGAGTTGAACATTCCCTTTCGTACAGCAGTTTTGAAACACTCTTTCTGTAGTATCTGGAAGTGAACATTAGGACAGCTTTCAGGTCTATGGTGAGAAAGGAAATATCTTCAAATAAAAACTAGACAGAAGCATTCTCATAAACTTGTTTGTGATGTGTGAACTCAGCTAACAGAGGTGGATCTTTCTTTTGATAGAGCAGTTCTGAAAAACACTTTTTGTTGAATCTGCAAGTGGACATTTGGATAGATTTGAAGATTTCGTTGGAAACGGGAATATCTTCATATCAAACCTAGACAGAAGCATTCTCAGAAACGTCTTTGTGATGTTTGCATTCAACTCATAGAGTTGAACATTCCCTTCCAGAGAGTAGCTTTGAAGCACTCTTTTTGTAGCATGTGCAAGTGGACATTTGGAGTGCCCTGAGGCCTACGGGGAAAAAGCAAATATCTTCCCATAACCACTAGACAGAAACATTCTCAGAAACTCCTTTATGACGTATGCACTCACCTAACAGAAAAGAACCTTCCTTTTGACAGAGCAGTTTTGATACACTCTTTTTATAGAATCTGCAAGTGGATATTTGGATAGCTGTGAAGATTTCGTTGGAAACGGGAATATCTTCCTATAAAATCTAGACAGAAGCATTCTCAGAAACTGCTCTGTGATGTCTGCATTCAAGTCACAGAGTTGAACGTTGTCTTTCATAGAGCAGGTTTGAAACGCTCTTTTTGTAGTATATGGAAGTGGACTTATCGGACGGTTTGAGGCCCATGGTGATAAAGGGAATATCTTCCCCTACAAGCTAGAAAGAAGCATTCTGTGAAACTTGTTTGTGATGTGTGTACTCAACTAACAGAGTTGAACCTTTCTTTTTAAAGAGCAGTTTTGAAACACTCTTTTTGTAGAATCTGCGAGGGGATATTTGGATAGATTTCAGGATTTCGTTGGAAACGGGAATATCTTCATATAAAATCTCGACAGAAGCATTCTCAGAAACTTCTTTGTGATATCTACATTCAAGTCACAGAGTTGAATATTCCCTTTCACAGAGTAGGTTTGAAACACTCTTTTTGTAGTATCTGGAATTGGACATTTGGAGCACCTTGACACCTACGGTGAAAAGGGAAATATCTTCCCATAAAAACTAGACAGAAGCAATCTCAGAATCTTCTTTGGGATATATGCACACAGCTAACAGAGTTGAACTTTTCTATTGACATAGCAGTTTTGAAACAGTCTTTCTGTGGAACCTGCAAGTGGATATTTGGATAGCTTGGAGGATTTCGTTGGAAACGGGATTACGTATAAAAAGTAGACAGCAGCATCCTCAGAAACTTCTTTGTGATGTGTGCATTCAAGTCACAGAGTTGAACATTCCCTTTCATACAGCAGTTTTGAAACACTCTTTCTGTAGTATCTGAAAGTGAATATTAGGACAGCTTTCAGGTCTATATTGAGAAAGGAAATATCTTCAAATAAAAACTAGACAGAAGCATTCTCATAAACTTGTTTGTGATGTGTGAACTCAGCTAACAGAGGCGGATCTTTCTTTTGATAGAGCAGTTCGGAAAAACACATTTTGTTGAATCTGCAAGTGGACATTTGGATAGATTTGAAGATTTCGTTGGAAACGGGAATATCTTCATATCAAATCTAGACAGAAGCATTCTCAGAAACGTCTTTGTGATGTTTGCATTCAACTCATAGAGTTGAACATTCCGTTTCAGAGAGCAGCTTTGAAGCACTCTTTTTGTAGTATGTGCAAGTGGATATTTGGAGCGTTCTGAGGCCTACGGGGAAGAAGCAAATATCTTCCCATAACCACTAGACAAAAGCATTCTCAGAAAATCCTTTATGACGTATGCACTCACCTAACAGAAAAGAACCTTCCTTTTGACAGAGCAGTTTTGATACACTCTTTTTGTAGAATCTGCAAGTGGATATTTGGATAGCTGTGAAGATTTCGTTGGAAACGGGAATATCTTCCTATAAAATCTATACAGAAGCATTCTCAGAAACTGCTCTGTGATGTCTGCATTCAAGTCACAGAGTTGAACATTGCCTTTCATAGAGCAGGTTTGAAACGCTCTTTTTGGAGTATATGGAAGTGGATGTTTCGGACGGTTGGAGGCCCATGGTGATAAAGGGAATATCTTCCCCTACAAGCTAGAAAGAAACATTCTCAGAAACTTCTTTATGACGTATGTACTCAACTAGCAGAGAAGAACTTTCCTTTTGACAGAGCATTTTTGATACACTCTTTTTGTACTATCTGCAAGTGGATATTTGTATAGCTGTGAAGATTTCGTTGGAAACGGGAATATCTTCCTATAAAATCTAGACAGAAGCATTCTCAGAAACTTCTTTGTGATATGTGCATTCAAGTCACAGAGTTGAATATTCCCTTTCACAGAGTAGGTTTGAAACACTCTTTTTGTAGTATCTGGAAGTGGACATTTGGAGCGCCTTGACGTCTACGGTGAAAAGGGAAATATCTTCCCATAAAAACTAGACAGAAGCAATCTCAGAATCTTCTTTGGGATACATGCACGCAGCTAACAGAGTTGAACCTTTCTATTGACAGAGCAGTTTTGAAACAGTCTTTCTGTGGAATCTGCAAGTGGATATTTGGATAGCTTGGAGGATTTCGTTGGAAACGGGATTACGTATAAAAAGTAGACAGCAGCATCCTCAGAATCTTCTTTGTGATGTGTGCATTCAAGTCACAGAGTTGAACATTCCCTTTCGTACAGCAGTTTTGAAACACTCTTTCTGTAGTATCTGGAAGTGAACATTAGGACAGCTTTCAGGTCTATGGTGAGAAAGGAAATATCTTCAAATATAAACTAGACAGAAGCATTCTCATAAACTTGTTTGTGATGTGTGAACTCAGCTAACAGAGGTGGATCTTTCTTTTGATAGAGCAGTTCTGAAAAACATTTTTTGTTGAATCTGCAAGTGGACATTTGGATAGATTTGAAGATTTCGTTGGAAACGGGAATATCTTCATATCAAATCTAGACAGAAGCATTCTCAGAAACGTCTTTGTGATGTTTGCATTCAACTCATAGAGTTGAACATTCCCTTTCAGAGAGCAGCTTTGAAGCACTCTTTTTGTAGTATGTGCAAGTGGACATTTGGAGCGCTTTGAGGCCTACGGGGAAAAAGCAAATATCTCCCATAACCACTAGACAGAAACATTCTCAGAAACTCCTTTATGACGTATGCACTCACCTAACACAGAAGAACCTTCCTTTTGACAGAGCAGTTTTGATACACTCTTTTTGTAGAATCTGCAAGTGGATATTTGGATAGCTGTGAAGATTTCGTTGGAAACGGGAATATCTTCCTATAAAATCTAGACAGAAGAATTCTCAGAAACTGCTCTGTGATGTCTGCATTCAAGTCACAGAGTTGAACATTGCCTTTCATAGAGCAGGTTTGAAACCCTCTTTTTGTAGTATATGGAAGTGGACGTTTCGGGCGGTTTGAGGCCCATGGTGATAAAGGGAATATCTTCCCCTACAAGCTAGAAAGAAGCATTCTGTGAAACTTGTTTGTGATGTGTGTACTCAACTAACAGAGTTGAACCTTCCTTTTTACAGAGCAGTTTTGAAACACTCTTTTTGTAGAATCTGCGAGGGGATATTTGGATAGATTTCAGCATTTCGTTGGAAACGGGAATATCTTCATATAAAATCTCGACAGAAGCATTCTCAGAAACTTCATTGTGATATCTGCATTCAAGTCACAGAGTTGAATATTCCCTTTCAGAGAGTAGGTTTGAAACACTCTTTTTGTAATATCTGGAAGTGGACATTTGGAGCGCCTTGACACCTACGGTGAAAAGGGAAATATCTTCCCATAAAAACTAGACAGAAGCAATCTCAGAATCTTCTTTGGGATATATGCACACAGCTAACAGAGTTGAACTTTTCTATTGACATAGCAGTTTTGAAACAGTCTTTCTGTGGAATCTGCAAGTGGATATTTGGATAGCTTGGAGGATTTCGTTGGAAACAGGATTACGTATAAAAAGTAGACAGCAGCATTCTCAGAAACTTCTTTGTGATGTGTGCATTCAAGTCAAAGAGTTGAACATTCCCTTTCGTACAGCAGGTTTGAAACACTCTTTCTCTAGTACCTGGAAGTGAACGGGACGAGAGCTTTCAGGTCTATTGTGAGAAAGGAAATATCTTCAAATAAAAACTAGACAGAAGCATTCTCATAAACTTGTTTTGATGTGTGAACTCAACTAACAGAGGTGGATCTTTCTTTTTATACAGCCCTTTTGAAAAACACTTTTTGTTGAATCTGCAAGTGGACACTTGAATAGATTTGAAGATTTCATTGGAAACGGAAATATCTTCATATCAAATCTAGACAGAAGCATTCTCAGAAAACGTCTTTGTGATGTTTGCATTCAACTCACAGAGTTGAACATTCCCTTTCAGAGCGCAGCTTTGAAGCACTCTTTTTGTAGTATGTGCAAGGGGATATTTGGAGCGCTCTGAGGCCTACGGTGAAAAAGCAAATATCTTCCCATAACCACTAGACAGAAACATTCTCAGAAACTCCTTTATGACGTATGTACTCAACTAACAGAGAAGAACCCTCCTTTTGACAGAGCAGTTTTGATACACTCTTTTTGTAGAATCTGCAAGTGGATATTTGGATAGCTGTGAAGATTTCGTTGGAAACGGGAATATCTTCCTATAAAATCTAGACAGAAGCATTCTCAGAAACTGCTCTGTGATGTCTGCATTCAAGTCACAGAGTTGAACATTGCCTTTGATAGAGCAGGTTTGAAACGCTCTTTTTGTAGTATATGGAAGTGGACGTTTCGGACGGTTTGAGGCCCATGATGATAAAGGGAATATCTTCCCCTACAAGCTAGAAAGAAGCATTCTGTGAAACTTGTTTGTGAGGTGTGTACTCAACTAACAGAGTTGAACCTTTCTTTTTACAGAGCAGTTTTGAAACACTCTTTTTGTAGAATCTGCGAGGGGATATTTGGATAGATTTCAGGATGTCGTTGGAAACGGGAATATCTTCATATAAAATCTCGACAGAAGCATTCTCAGAAACTTCTTTGTGATATCTGCCTTCAAGTCACAGGAGTTGAATATTCCCTTTCACAGAGTAGGTTTGAAACACTCTTTTTGTAGTATCTGGAAGTGGACATTTGGAGCGCCTTGACGCCTACGGTGAAAAGGGAAATATCTTCCCATAAAAACTAGACAGAAGGAATCTCAGAATCTTCTTTGGGATATATGCACGCAGCTAACAGAGTTGAACCTTTCTATTGACAGAGCAGTTTAGAAACAGTCTTTCTGTGGAATCTGCAAGTGGATATTTGGATAGCTTGGAGGATTTCGTTGGAAACGGGATTACGTATAAAAAGTAGACAGCAGCATCCTCAGAAACTTCTTTGTGATGTGTGCATTAAAGTCACAGAGTTGAACATTCCCTTTCGTACAGCAGTTTTGAAACACTCTTTCTGTAGTATCTGGAAGTGAACATTAGGACAGATTTCAGCTCTATGGTGAGAAAGGAAATATCTTCAAATAAAAACTACACAGAAGCATTCTCATAAAGTTGTTTGTGATGTGTGAACTCAGCTAACAGATGTGGATCTTTCTTTTGATAGAGCAGTTCTGAAAAACACTTTTTGTTGAATCTGCAAGTGGACATTTGGATAGATTTGAAGATTTCGTTGGAAACGGGAATATCTTCATATCAAATCTAGACAGAAGCATTCTCAGAAACGTCTTTGTGATGTTTGCATTCAACTCATAGAGTTGAACATTCCCTTTCAGAGAGCAGCTTTGAAGCACTCTTTTTGTAGTATGTGCAAGGGGATATTTGGAGCACTCTGAGGCCTAAGGTGAAAAAGCAAATATCTTCCCATAACCACTAGACAGAAACATTCTCAGAAACTCCTTTATGACGTATGCACTCACCTAACAGAGAAGAACCTTCCTTTTGACAGAGCAGTTTTGATACACTCTTTTTGTAGAATCTGCAAGTGGATATTTGGATAGCTGTGAAGATTTCGTTGGAAACGGGAATATCTTCCTATACAATCTAGACAGAAGCATTCTCAGAAACTGCTCTGTGATGTCTGCATTCAAGTCACAGAGTTGAACATTGCCTTTCCTAGAACAGGTTTGAAACGCTCTTTTTGTAGTATATGGAAGTGGACGTTTCGGACGGTTTGAGGCCCATGGTGATAAAGGGAATATCTTCCCCTACAAGCTAGAAAGAAGCATTCTGTGAAACTTGTTTGTGATATGTGCACTCAACTAACAGAGTTGAACCTTTCTTTTTACAGAGCAGTTTTGAAACACTCTTTTTGTAGAATCTGCGAGGGGATATTTGGATAGATTTCAGGATTTCGTTGGAAACGGGAATATCTTCATATAAAATCTCGACAGAAGCATTCTCAGAAAACTTCCTTGTGATATGTGCATTCAAGTCACAGAGTTGAATATTCCCTTTCACAGAGTAGGTTTGAAACACTCTTTTTGTAGTATCTGGAAGTGGACATTTGGAGCGCCTTGACGCCCACGGTGAAAAGGGAAATATCTTCCCATAAAAACTAGACAGAAGCAATCTCAGAATCTTCTTTGGGATATATGCACGCAGCTAACAGAATTGAACCTTTCTATTGACAGAGCAGTTTTGAAACAGTCTTTCTGTGGAATCTGCAAGTGGATATTTGGATAGCTTGGAGGATTTCGTTGGAAACGGGATTAAGTATAAAAAGTAGACAGCAGCATCCTCAGAAACTTCTTTGTGATGTGTGCATTCAAGTCACAGAAGTTGAACATTCCCTTTCGTACAGCAGTTTTGAAACACTCTTTCTGTAGTAACTGGAAGTGAACATTAGGACAGCTTTCAGGTCTATGGTGAGAAAGGAAATATCTTCAAATAAAAACTAGACAGAAGCATTCTCATAAACTTGTTTGTGATGTGTGAACTCAGCTAACAGAGGTGGATCTTTCTTTTGATAGAGCAGTTCTGAAAAACACTTTTTGTTGAATCTGCAAGTGGACATTTGGATAGATTTGAAGATTTCGTTGGAAACGGGAATATCTTCATATCAAATCTAGAGAGAAGCATTCTCAGAAACGTCTTTGTGATGTTTGCATTCAACTCATACAGTTGAACATTCCGTTTCAGAGAGCAGCTTTGAAGCACTCTTTTTGTAGTATGTGCAAGGGGATATTTGGAGCGCTGTGAGGCCTAAGGTGAAAAAGCAAATATCTTCCCCTAACCACTAGACAGAAACATTCTCAGAAACTCCTGTATGACGTATGCACTCACCTAACAGAGAAGAACCTTCCTTTTGACAGAGCAGTTTTGATACACTCTTTTTGTAGAATCTGCAAGTGGATATTTGGATAGCTGTGAAGCTTTCGTTGGAAACGGGAATATCTTCCTATAAAATCTAGACAGAAGCATTCTCAGAAACTGCTCTGTGATGTCTCCATTCAAGTCACAGAGTTGAACATTGCCTTTCATAGAGCAGGTTGGAAACGCTCTTTTTGTAGTATATGGAAGTGGATGTTTCGGACGGTTTGAGGCCCATGGTGATAAAGGGAATATCTTCCCCTACAAGCTAGAAAGAAGCATTCTGTGAAACTTGTTTGTGATGTGTGTACTCAACTAACAGAGATGAACCTTTCTTTTTACAGAGCAGTTTTGAAACACTCTTTTTGTAGAATCTGCGAGGGGATATTTGGATACATTTCAGCATTTCGTTGGAAACGGGAATATCTTCATATAAAATCTCGACAGAAGCATTCTCATAAACTTCTTTGTGATATCTGCATTCAAGTCACAGAGTTGAATATTCCCTTTCACAGAGTAGGTTTGAAACACTCTTTTTGTAGTATCTGGAAGTGGACATTTGGAGCGCCTTGACGCCTACGGTGAAAAGGGAAATATCTTCCCATAAAAACTAGACAGAAGCAATCTCAGAATCTTCTTTGGGATATATGCACGCAGCTAACAGAGTTGAACCTTTCTATTGACAGAGCAGTTTTGAAACAGTCTTTCTGTGGAATCTGCAAGTGGATATTTGGATAGCTTGGAGGATTTCGTTGGAAACGGCATTACGTATAAAAAGTAGACAGCAGCATCCTCAGAAACTTCTTTGTGATGTGTGCATTCAAGTCACACAGTTGAACATTCCCTTTCGTACAGCAGTTTTGAAACACTCTTTCTGTAGTATCTGGAAGTGAACATTAGGACAGCTTTCAGGTCTATGGTGAGAAAGGAAATATCTTCAAATAAAAACTAGACAGAAGCATTCTCATAAACTTGTTTGTGATGTGTGAACTGAGCTAACAGACGTGGATCTTTCTTTTGATACAGCAGTTTTGAAAAACACTTTTTGTTGAATCTGCAAGTAGACATTTGGATAGATTTGAAGATTTCGTTGGAAACGGGAATATCTTCATATCAAATCTAGACAGAAGCATTCTCGGAAACGTCTTTGTGATGTTTGCATTCAACTCATAGAGTTGAACATTCACTTTCAGAGAGCAGCTTTGAAGCACTCTTTTTGTAGTATGTGCAAGTGGATATTTGGATCGCTCTGAGGCCTAAGGTGAAAAAGCAAATATCTTCCCATAACCACTAGACAGAAACATTCTCAGAAACTCCTTTCTGACGTATGCACTCACCCAACAGAGAAGAACCTTCCTTTTGACAGAGCAGTTTTGATACACTCTTTTTGTAGAATCTGCAAGTGGATATTTGGATAGCTGTGAAGATTTCGTTGGAAACGGGAATATCTTCCTATAAAATCTAGACAGAAGCATTCTCAGAAACTGCTCTGTGATGTCTGCATTCAAGTCACAGAGTTGAACATTGCCTTTCATAGAGCAGGTTTGAAACGCTCTTTTTGTAGTATATGGAAGTGGATGTTTCGGACGGTTGGAGGCCCATGGTGATAAAGGGAATATATTCCCCTACAAGCTAGAAAGAAGCATTCTGTGAAACTTGTTTGTGATGTGTGTACTCAACTAACAGAGTTGAACCTTTCTTTTTACAGAGCAGTTTTGAAACACTCTTTTTGTAGAATCTGCGAGGAGATATTTGGAAAGATTTCAGGATTTTGTTGGAAACGGGAATATCTTCATATAAAATCGCGACAGAAGCATTCTCAGAAACTTCTTTGTGATATGTGCATTCAATCACAGAGTTGAATATTCCCTTTCACAGAGTAGGTTTGAAACACTCTTTTTGTAGTATCTGGAAGTGGACATTTGGAGCGCCTTGACACCTACGGTGAAAAGGGAAATATCTTCCCATAAAAACTAGACAGAAGCAATCTCAGAATCTTCTTTGGGATATATGCACGCAGCTAACAGAGTTGAACCTTTCTATTGACTGAGCAGATTTGAAACAGTCTTTCTGTGGAATCTGCAAGTGGATATTTGGATAGATTGGAGGATTTCGTTGGAAACGGGATTACGTATAAAAAGTAGACAGCAGCATCCTCAGAAACTTCTTTGTGATGTGTGCATTCAAGTCACAGAGTTGAACATTACCTTTCGTACAGCAGTTTTGAAACACTCTTTCTGTAGTATCTGGAAGTGAACATTAGGACAGCTTTCAGGTCTATGGTGAGAAAGGAAATATCTTCAAATAAAAACTAGACAGAAGCATTCTCATAAACTTGTTCGTGATGTGTGAACTCAGCTAAGAGCCGTGGATCTTTCTTTTGATAGAGCAGTTTTGAAAAACACTTTTTGTTGAATCTGCAAGTGGACATTTGGATAGATTTGAAGATTTCTTTGGAAACGGGAATATCTTCATATCAAATCTAGACAGAAGCATTCTCAGAAACGTCTTTGTGATGTTTGCATTCAACTCATAGAGTTGAACATTCCCTTTCAGAGAGCAGCTTTGAAGCACTCTTTTTGTAGTATGTGCAAGGGGATATATGGAGCCGCTCTGAGGCCTAAGGTGAAAAAGCAAATATCTTCCCATAACCACTAGACAGAAAACATTCTCAGAAACTCCTTTATGACGTATGTACTCAACTAACAGAGAAGAACCTTCCTTTTGACAGAGCACTTTTGATACACTCTTTTTGTAGAATCTGCAAGTGCATATTTGGATAGCTGTGAAGATTTCGTTGGAAACGGGAATATCTTCCTATAAAGTCTAGACAGAAGCATTCTCAGAAACTGCTCTGTGATGTCTGCATTCAAGTCAAAGAGTTGAACATTGCCTTTCATAGAGCAGGTTTGAAACGCTCTTTTTGTAGTATATGGAAGTGGACGTTTCGGACGGTTTGAGGCCCATGGTGATAAAGGGAATATCTTCCCCTACAAGCTAGAAAGAAGCATTCTGTGAAACTTGTTTGTGATGTGTGTACTGAAGTAACAGAGTTGAACCTTTCTTTTTACAGAGCAGTTTTGAAACACTCTTTTTGTAGAATCTGCGAGGGGATATTTGGATAGATTTCAGGATTTCGTTGGAAACGGGAATATCTTCATAGAAAATTCTCGACAGAAAGCATTCTCAGAAACTTCTTTGTGATATGTGCATTCAAGTCACAGAGTTGAATATTCCCTTTCACAGAGTAGGTTTGAAACACTCTTTTTGTAGTATCTGGAAGTGGACATTTGGAGCGCCTTGACACCTACGGTGAAAAGGGAAATAACTTCTCATAAAAAGTAGACAGAAGCAATCTCAGAATCTTCTTTGGGATATATGCACGCAGCTCACAGAGTTGAACCTTTCTATTGACAGAGCAGTTTAGAAACAGTCCTTCTGTGGAATCTGCAAGTGGATATTTGGATAGCTTGGAGGATCTCTTTGGAAACGGGATTACGTATAAAAAGTAGACAGCAGCATCCTCAGAAACTTCTTTGTGATGTGTGCATTCAAGTCACAGAGTTGAACATTCCCTTTCGTACAGCAGTTTTGAAACACTCTTTCTGTAGTATCTGGAAGTGAACAATAGGACAGCTTTCAGGTCTATGGTGAGAAAGGAAATATCTTCAAATAAAAACTAGACAGAAGCATTCTCATAAACTTGTTTGTGATGTGTGAACTCAGCTAACGGACGTGGATCTTTCTTTTGATACAGCAGTTTTGAAAAACACTTTTTGTTGAATCTGCAAGTGGACATTTGGATAGATATGAAGATTCCGTTGGAAACGGGAATATCTTCATATCAAATCTAGACAGAAGCATTCCCAGAAACGTCTTTGTGATGTTTGCATTCAACTCATAGAGTTGAACATTCCCTTTCAGAGAGCAGCTTTGAAGCACTCTTTTTGTAGTATGTGCAAGGGGATATTTGGAGCGCTCTGAGGCCTAAGGTGAAAAAGCAAATATCTTCCCATAACCACTAGACAGAAACATTCTCAGAAACTCCTTTATGACGTATGCACTCACCTAACAGAAAAGAACCTTCCTTTTGACAGAGCAGTTTTGATACACTCTTTTTGTAGAATCTGCAAGTGGATATTTGGATAGCTGTGAAGATTTCGTTGGAAACGGGAATATCTTCCTATAAAATATAGACAGAAGCATTCTCAGAAATTGCTCTGTGATGTCTGCATTCAAGTCACAGAGTTGAACATTGCCTTTCCTAGAGCAGGTTTGAAACGCTCTTTTTGTAGTATATGGAAGTGGACGTTTCGGACGGTTTGAGGCCCATGGTGATAAAGGGAATATCTTCCCCTACAAGCTAGAAAGAAGCATTCTGTGAAACTTGTTTGTGATGTGTGTACTCAACTAACAGAGTTGAACCTTTCTTTTTACAGAGCAGTTTTGAAACACTCTTTTTGTAGAATCTGAGAGGGGATATTTGGATAGATTTCAGGATTTCGTTGGAAATGGGAATATCTTCATATAAAATCTCGACAGAAGCATTCTCAGAAAGCTTCTTTGTGATATGTGCATTCAAGTCACAGAGTTGAATATTCCCTTTCACAGAGTAGGTTTGAAACACTCTTTTTGTAGTATCTGGAAGTGGACATTTGGAGCGCCTTGACGCCTACGGTGAAAAGGGAAATATCTTCTCATAAAAAGTAGACAGAAGCAATCTCAGAATCTTCTTTGGGATATATGCACGCAGCTAACAGAGTTGAACCTTTCTATTGACAGAGCAGTTTTGAAACAGTCTTTCTGTGGAATCTGCAAGTGGATATTTGTATAGATTGGAGGATTTCGTTGGAAACGGGATTACGTATAAAAAGTAGACAGCAGCATCCTCCGAAACTTCTTTGTGATGTGTGCATTCAAGTCACAGAGTTGAACATTCCCTTTGGTACAGCAGTTTTGAAACACTCTTTCTGTAGTATCTGGAAGTGAACATTAGGACAGCTTTCAGCTCTATGGTGAGAAAGGAAATATCTTCAAATAAAAACTAGACAGAAGCATTTTCATAAACTTGTTTGTGATGTGTGAACTCAGCTAAGAGAGGTGGATCTTTCTTTTGATAGAGCAGTTCTGAAAAACACTTTTTGTTGAATCTGCAAGTGGACATTTGGATAGATTTGAAGATTTCGTTGGAAACGGGAATATCTTCATATCAAATCTAGACAGAAGCATTCTCAGAAACGTCTTTGTGATGTTTGCATTCAACTCATAGAGTTGAACATTCCGTTTCAGAGAGCAGCTTTGAAGTACTCTTTTTGTAGTATGTGCAAGTGGATATTTGGAGCGCTCTGAGGCCTACGGGGAAAAAGCAAATATCTTCCCATAACCACTACACTGAAACATTCTCAGAAACTCCTTTATGACGTGTGCACTCACCTAACGGAGAAGAACCTTCCTTTTGACAGAGCAGTTTTGATACACTCTTTTTGTAGAATCTGCAAGTGGATATTTGGATAGCTGTGAAGATTTCGTTGGAAACGGGAATATCTTCCTATAAAATCTAGACAGAAGCATTCTCAGAAACTGCTCTGTGATGTCTGCATTCAAGTCACAGAGTTGAACATTGCCTTTCATAGAGCAGGTTTGAAATGCTTTTTTGTAGTATATGGAAGAGAATGTTTCGGACGGTTGGAGGCCCATGGTGATAAAGGGAATATCTTCCCCTACAAGCTAGAAAGAAGCATTCTGTGAAAGTTGTTTTTGATGTGTGTACTCAACTAACAGAGTTGAACCTTTCTTTTTACAGAGCAGTTTTGAAACACTCTTTTTGTAGAATCTGCGAGAGGATATTTGGATAGATTTCAGGATTTCGTTGGAAACGGGAATATCTTCATATAAAATCTCGACAGAAAGCATTCTCAGAAACTTCTTTGTGATATCTGCCTTCAAGTCACAGTAGTTGAATATTCCCTTTCACAGAGTAGGTTTGAAACACTCTTTTTGTAGTATCTGGAAGTGGACATTTGGAGCGCCTTGACGCCTACGGTGAAAAGGGAAATATCTTCCCATAAAAACTAGACAGAAGCAATCTCAGCATCTTCTTTGGGATATATGCACGCAGCTAACAGAGTTGAACCTTTCTATTGACAGAGCAGTTTTGAAACAGTCTTTCTGTGGAATCTGCAAGTGGATATTTGGATAGCTTGGAGGATTTCGTTGGAAACGGGATTACGTATAAAAAGTAGACAGCAGCATCCTCAGAAACTTCTTTGTGATGTGTGCATTCAAGTCACAGAGTTGAACATTCCCTTTCGTACAGCAGTTTTGAAACACTCTTTCTGTAGTACATGGAAGTGAACATTAGGACAGCTTTCAGGTCTATGGTGAGAAAGGAAATATCTTCAAATAAAAACTAGACAGAAGCATTCTCATAAACCTCTTTGTGATGTGTGAACTCAGCTAACAGAGGTGGATCTTTCTTTTGATAGAGCAGTTCTGAAAAACACTTTTTGTTGAATCTGCCAGTGGACATTTGGATAGATTTGAAGATTTCGTTGGAAACGGGAATATCTTCATATCAAATCTAGACAGAAGCATTCCCAGAAACGTCTTTGTGATGTTTGCATTCAACTCATAGAGTTGAACATTCCGTTTCAGAGAGCAGCTTTGAAGCACTCTTTTTGTAGTATGTGCAAAAGGATATTTGGAGCACTCTGAGGCCTAAGGTGAAAAAGCAAATATCTTCCCATAACCACTAGACAGAAACATTCTCAGAAACTCCTTTATGACGTATGCACTCACCTAACAGAGAAGAACCTTCCTTTTGCCAGAGCAGTTTGGATACACTCTTTTTGTAGAATCTGCAAGTGGATATTTGGATAGCTGTGAAGATTTCGTTGGAAACGGGAATATCATCCTATAAAATCTAGACAGAAGCATTCTCAGAAACAGCTCTGTGATGTCTGCATTCAAGTCACAGAGTTGAACATTGCCTTTCATAGAGCAGGTTTGAACCGCTCTTTTTGTAGTATATGGAAGTGGACGTTTCGGACGGTTTGAGACCCATGGTGATAAAGGGAATATATTCCCCTACAAGCTAGAAAGAAGCATTCTGTGAAACTTGTTGTGATGTGTGTACTCAACTAACAGAGTTGAACCTTTCTTTTTACAGAGCAGTTTTGAAACACTCTTTTTGTAGAATCTGCGAGGGGATATTTGGATAGATTTCAGGATTTCGTTGGAAACGGGAATATCTTCATATAAAATACTCGACAGAAGCATTCTCAGAAACTTCCTTGTGATATGTGCATTCAAGTCACAGAGTTGAATATTCCCTTTCACAGAGTAGGTTTGAAACACTCTTTTTGTAGTATCTGGAAGTGGACATTTGGAGCGCCTTGATGCCCACGGTGAAAAGGGAAATATCTTCCCATAAAAACTAGACAGAAGCAATCTCAGAATCTTCTTTGGGATATATGCACGCAGCTAACAGAGTTAAACCTTTCTATTGACAGAGCAGTTTTGAAACAGTCTTTCTGTGGAATCTGCAAGTGGATATTTGGATAGCTTGGAGGATTTCGTTGGAAACGGGATTACGTATAAAAAGTAGACAGCAGCATCCTCAGGAAACTTCTTTGTGATGTGTTCATTCAAGTCACAGAGTTGAACATTCCCTTTCGTACAGCAGTTTTGAAACACTCTTTCTGTAGTATCTGGAAGTGAACATTAGGACAGCTTTCAGGTCTATGGTGAGAAAGGCAATATCTTCAAATAAAAACTAGACAGAAACATTTTCATAAACTTGTTTGTGATGTGTGAACTCAGCTAACAGAGGTGGATCTTTCTTTTGATAGAGCAGTTCTGAAAAACACTTTTTGTTGAATCTGCAAGTGGACATTTGGATAGATTTGAAGATTTCGTTGGAAACGGGAATATCTTCATATCAAATCTAGACAGAAGCATTCTCAGAAACGTCTTTGTGATGTTTGCATTCAACTCATAGAGTTGAACATTCCGTTTCAAAGAGCAGCTTTGAGGCACTCTTTTTGTAGTATGTGCAAGTGGATATTTGGAGCGCTCTGAGGCCTACGGTGAAAAAGCAAATATCTTCCCATAACCACTAGACAGAAAACATTCTCAGAAACTCCTTTATGACGTATGCACTCACCTAACAGAGAAGAACCTTCCTTTTGACAGAGCAGTTTTGATACACTCTTTTTGTAGAATCTGCAAGTGGATATTTGGATAGCTGTGAAGATTTCGTTGGAAACGGGAATATCTTCCTATAAAATCTAGACAGAAGCATTCTCAGAAACTGCCTCTGTGATGTCTGCATTCAAGTCACAGAGTTGAACATTGCCTTTCATAGAGCAGGTTTGAAACGCTCTTTTTGTAGTATATGGAAGTGGACTTTTCGGACGGTTTGAGGCCCATGGTGATAAAGGGAATATCTTCCCCTACAAGCTAGAAAGAAGCATTCTGTGAAACTTGTTTGTGATGTGTGTACTCAACTAACAGAGTTGAACCTTTCTTTTCACAGAGCAGTTTTGAAACACTCTTTTTGTATAATCTGCGAGGGGAAATTTGGATAGATTTCAGGATTTCGTTGGAAACGGGAATATCTTCATACAAAATCTCGACAGAAGCATTCTCAGAAACTTCCTTGTGATATGTGCATTCAAGTCACAGAGTTGAATATTCCCTTTCACAGAGTAGGTTTGAAACACTCTTTTTGTAGTATCTGGAAGTAGACATTTGGAGCGCCTTGACACCTACGGTGAAAAGGGAAATATCTTCCCATAAAAACTAGACAGAAGCAATCTCAGAATCTTCTTTGGGATATATGCACGCAGCTAACAGAGTTGAACCTTTCTATTGACAGAGCAGTTTTGAAACAGTCTTTCTGTGGAATCTGCAAGTGGATATTGGGATAGCTTGGAGGATTTCGTTGGAAACGGGATTACGCATAAAAAGTAGACAGCAGCATCCTCAGAAACTTCTTTGTGATGTGTGCATTCAAGTCACAGAGTTGAACATTCCCTTTCGTACAGCAGTTTTGAAACACTCTTTCTGTAGTATCTGGAAGTGAACATTAGGACAGCTTTCAGGTCTATGGTGAGAAAGAAAATATCTTCAAATAAAAACTAGACAGAAGCATTCTCATAAACTTGTTTGTGATGTGTGAACTCAGCTAACAGAGGTGGATCTTTCTTTTGATAGAGCAGTTCTGAAAAACACTTTTTGTTGAATCTGCAAGTGGACATTTGGATAAATTTGAAGATTTCGTTGGAAACGGGAATATCTTCATATCAAATCTAGACAGAAGCATTCTCAGAAACGTCTTTGCGATGTTTGCATTCAACTCATAGAGTTGAACATTCCCTTTCAGAGAGCAGCTTTGAGGCACTCTTTTTGTAGTATGTGCAAGTGGATATTTGGAGCGCTCTGTGGCCTACGGTGAAAAAGCAAATGTCTTCCCATAACCACTAGACAGAAACATTCTCAGAAACTCCTTTATGACGTATGCACTCACCTAACAGAGAAGAACCTTCCTTTTGACAGAGCAGTTTTGATACACTCTTTTTGTAGAATCTGCAAGTGGATATTTTGATACCTGTGAAGATTTCGTTGGAAACGGGAATATCTTCGTATAAAATCTAGACAGAAGCATTCTCAGAAACTGCTCTGTGATGTCTGCATTCAAGTCACAGAGTTGAACATTGCCTTTCATAGAGCAGGTTTGAAACGCTCTTTTTGTAGTATATGGAAGTGGACTTTTCGGACGGTTTGAGGCCCATGGTGATAAAGGGAATATCTTCCCCTACAAGCTAGAAAGAAAGCATTCTGTGAAACTTGTTTGTGATGTGTGTACTCAACTAACAGAGTTGAACCTTTCTTTTTACAGAGCAGTTTTGAAACACTCTTTTTGTAGAATCTGCGAGGGGATATTTGGATACATTTCAGCATTTCGTTGGAAACGGGAATATCTTCATATAAAATCTCGACAGGAAGCATTCTCAGAAACTTCCTTGTGATATGTGCATTCAAGTCACAGAGTTGAATATTCCCTTTCACAGAGTAGGTTTGAAACACTCTTTTTGTAGTATCTGGAAGTGGACATTTGGAGCGCCTTGACGCCTACGGTGAAAAGGGAAATATCTTCCCATAAAAACAAGACAGAAGCAATCTCAGAATTTTCTTTGAGATATATGCACACAGCTAACAGAGTTGAACCTTTCTATTGACAGAGCAGTTTTGAAACAGTCTTTCTGTGGAATCTGCAAGTGGATATTTGGATAGCATGGAGGATTTCGTTGGAAACGGGATTACGTATAAAAAGTAGACAGCAGCATCCTCAGAAACTTCTTTGTGATGTGTGCATTCAAGTCACAGAGTTGAACATTCCCTTTCATACAGCAGTTTTGAAACACTCTTTCTGTAGTATCTGGAAGTGAACATTAGGAGAGCTTTCAGGTCTATGGTGAGAAAGGAAATATCTTCAAATAAAAACTAGACAGAAGCATTCTCATAAACTTGTTTGTGATGTGTGAACTCAGCTAACAGAGGTGGATCTTTCTTTTGATAGAGCAGTTCTGAAAAACTCTTTTGTTGAATCTGCAAGTGGACATTTGGATAGATTTGAAGATTTCGTTGGAAACGGGAATATCTTCATATCAAATCTAGACAGAAGCATTCTCAGAAACGTCTTTGTGATGGTTGCATTCAACTCATAGAGTTGAACATTCCGTTTCAGAGAGCAGCTTTGAATCACTCTTTTTGTAGTATGTTCAAGTGGATATTTGGAGCGCTCTGAGGCCTACGGTGAAAAAGCAAATATCTTCCCATAACCACTAGACAGAAACATTCTCAGAAACTCCTTTATGACGTATGTACTCAACTAACAGAGAAGAACATTCTTTTTCACAGAGCAGTTTTGATACACTCTTTTTGTAGAATCTGCAAGTGCATATTTGGATAGCTGTGAAGATTTCGTTGGAAACGGGAATATCTTCCTATAAAATCTAGACAGAAGCATTCTCAGAAACTGCTCTGTGATGTGTGCATTCAAGTCACAGAGTTGAACATTGCCTTTCATAGAGCAGGTTTGAAATGCTCTTTTTGTAGTATATGGAAGTGGACGTTTCAGACGGTTTGAGGCCCATGGTGATAAAGGGAATATCTTCCCCTACAAGCTAGAAAGAAGCATTCTGTGAAACTTGTTTTTGATGTGTGTACTCAACTAACAGAGTTGAACCTTTCTTTTTACAGAGCAGTTTTGAAACACTCTTTTTGTAGAATCTGCGAGGGGATATTTGGAGAGATTTCAGGATTTCGTTGGAAACGGGAATATCTTCATATAAAATCTCGACAGAAGCATTCTCAGAAACTTCTTTGTGATATCTGCATTCAAGTCACAGAGTTGAATATTCCCTTTCACAGAGTAGGTTTGAAACACTCTTTTTGCAGTATCTGGAAGTGGACATTTGGAGCGCCTTGACGCCTACGGTGAAAAGGGAAATATCTTCCCATAAAAACTAGATAGAAGTAATCTCAGAATCTTCTTTGGGATATATGCACGCAGCTAACAGAGTTGAACCTTTCTATTGACAGAGCAGTTTTGAAACAGTCTTTCTGTGGAATCTGCAATTGGATATTTGGATAGCTTGGAGGATTTCGTTGGAAACGGGATTACGTATAAAAAGTAGACAGCAGCATCCTCAGAAACTTCTTTGTGATGTGTGCATTCAAGTCACAGAGTTGAACATTCCCTTTCGTACAGCAGTTTTGAAACACTCTTTCTGTAGTATCTGGAAGTGAACATTAGGACAGCTTTCAGGTCTATGGTGAGAAAGGAAATACCTTCAAATAAAAACTAGACAGAAGCATTCTCATAAATTTGTTTGTGATGTGTGAACTCAGCTAACAGAGGTGGATCTTTCGATAGAGCAGTTCTGAAAAACACTTTTTGTTGAATCTGCAAGTGGACATTTGGATAGATTTGAAGATTTCGTTGGAAACGGGAATATCTTCATATCAAATCTAGACAGAAGCATTCTCAGAAACGTCTTTGTGATGTTTGCATTCAACTCATAGAGTTGAACATTCCCTTCCAGTGAGTAGCTTTGAAGCACTCTTTTTGTAGCATGTGCAAGTGGACATTTGGAGCGCCCTGAGGCCTACGGGGAAAAAGCAAATATCTTCCCATAACCACTAGACAGAAACATTCTCAGAAACTCCTTTATGACGTATGCACTCACCTAACAGAGAAGAACCTTCCTTTTGACAGAGCAGTTTTGATACACTCTTTTTGTAGAATCTGCAGGTGGATATTTGGATACCTGTGAAGATTTCGTTGGAAACGGGAATATCTTCCTATAAAATCTAGACAGAAGCATTCTCAGAAACTGCTCTGTGATGTCTGCATTCAAGTCACAGAGCTGAACATTGCCTTTCATAGAGCAGGTTTGAAACGCTCTTTTTGTAGTATATGGAAGTAGACGTTTCGGACAGTTTGAGGCCCATGGTGATAAAGGAATATCTTCCCCTACAAGCTAGAAAGAAGCATTCTGTGAAACTTGTTTGTGAGGTGTGTACTCAACTAACAGAGTTGAACCTTTCTTTTTACAGAGCAGTTTTGAAACACTCTTTTTGTAGAATCTGCGAGGGGATATTTGGATAGATTTCAGGATTTCGTTGGAAACGGGAATATCTTCATATAAAATCTCGACAGAAGCATTCTCAGAAACTTCTTTGTGATATGTGCATTCAAGTCACAGAGTTGAATATTCCCTTTCACAGAATAGGTTTGAAACACTCTTTTTGTAGTATCTGGAAGTGGACATTTGGAGCGCCTTGACGCCTACGGTGAAAAGGGAAATATCTTCCCATAAAAACTAGACAGAAGCAATCTCAGAATCTTCTTTGGGATATATGGACGCAGCTAACAGAGTTGAACCTTTCTATTGACAGAGCAGTTTTGAAACAGTCTTTCTGTGGAATCTGCAAGTGGATATTTGGATAACTTGGAGGATTTCGTTGGAAACGGGATTACGTATAAAAAGTAGACAGCAGCATCCTCAGAAACTTCTTTGTGATGTGTGCATTCAAGTCACAGAGTTGAACATTCCCTTTCGTACAGCAGTTTTGAAACACTCTTTCTGTAGTATCTGGAAGTGAACATTAGGACACCTTTCAGGTCTATGGTGAGAAAGGAAATATCTTCAAATAAAAACTAGACAGAAGCATTCTCATAAACTTGTTTGTGATGTGTGAACTCAGCTAACAGAGGCGGATCTTTCTTTTGTTACAGCAGTTTTGAAAAACACTTTTTGTTGAATCTGCAAGTGGACATTTGGATAGATTTGAAGATTTCGTTGGAAACGGGAATATCTTCATATCAAATCTAGACAGAAGCATTCTCAGAAACGTCTTTGCGATGTTTGCATTCAACTCATAGAGTTGAACATTCCCTTTGAGAGAGCAGCTTTTAAGCACTCTTTTTGTAGCATGTGCAAGAGAAAATTTGGAGCGCCCTGAGGCCTACGGTGAAAAAGCAAATATCTTCCCATAACCACTAGACAGAAACATTCTCAGAAACTCCTGTATGACGTATGTACTCAACTAACAGAGAAGAACCTTCCTTTTGACAGAGCAGTTTTGATACACTCTTTTTGTAGAATCTGCAAGTGGATATTTGGATAGCTGTGAAGATTTCGTTGGAAACGGGAATATCTTCCTATAAAATCTCGACAGAGGCATTCTCAGAAACTGCTCTGTGATGTCTGTATTCAAGTCACAGAGTTGAACATTGCCTTTCATAGAGCAGGTTTGAAACGCTCTTTTTGTAGTATATGGAAGTGGATGTTTCGGACGGTTGGAGGCCCATGGTGATAAAGGGAATATCTTCCCCTACAAGCTAGAAAGAAGCATTCTGTGAAACTTGTTTGTGATGTGTGTACTCAAGTAACAGAGTAGAACCTTTCTTTTTACAGAGCAGTTTTGAAACTCTCTTTCTGTAGAATCTGCGAGGGGATATTTGGATAGATTTCAGGATTTCGTTGGAAACGGGAATATCTTCATATAAAATCTCGACAGAAGCATTCTCAGAAACTTCTTTGTGATATGTGCATTCAAGTCACAGAGTTGAATATTCCCTTTCACAGAGTAGGTTTGAAACACTCTTGTTGTAGTATCTGGAAGTGGACATTTGGAGCGCCTTGACGCCTACGGTGAAAAGGGAAATATCTTCCCATAAAAACTAGACAGAAGCAATCTCAGAATCTTCTTTGGGATATATTCACGCAGCTAAAAGAGTTGAACCTTTCTATTGACAGAGCAGTTTTGAAACAGTCTTTCTGTGGAATCTGCAAGTGGATATTTGGATAGCTTGGAGGATTTCGTTGGAAACGGGATTACGTATAAAAAGTAGACAGCAGCATCCTCAGAAACTTCTTTGTGATGTGTGCATTCAAGTCACAGAGTTGAACATTCCCTTTCGTACAGCAGTTTTGAAACACTCTTTCTGTAGTATCTGGACGTGAACATTAGGACAGCTTTCAGGTCTATGGTGAGAAAGGAAATATCTTCAAATAAAAACTAGACAGAAGCATTCTCATAAACTTGTTTGTGATGTGTCAACTCAGCTAAGAGAGGTGGATCTTTCTTTTGATAGAGCAGTTCTGAAAAACACTTTTTGTTGAATCTGCAAGTGGACATTTCGATAGATTTGAAGATTTCGTTGGAAACGGGAATATCTTCATATCAAATCTAGACAGAAGCATTCTCAGAAACGTCTTTGTGATGTTTGCATTCAACTCATACAGTTGAACATTCCCTTTCAGAGAGCAGCTTTGAAGCACTCTTTTTGTAGTATGTGCAAGTGGACAATTGGAGCGCTTTGAGGCCTACGGGGAAAAAGCAAATATCTTCTCATAACCACTAGACAGGAACATTCTCAGAAACTCCTTTATGACGTATGCACTCACCTAACAGAAAAGAACCTTCCTTTTGACAGAGCAGTTTTGATACACTCTTTTTGTGGAATCTGCAAGTGGATATTTGGATAGCTGTGAAGATTTCGTTGGAAACGGGAATATATTCCTATAAAATCTAGACAGAAGCATTCTCAGAAACTGCTCTGTGATGTCTGCATTCAAGTCACAGAGCTGAACATTGCCTTTCATAGAGCAGGTTTGAAACGCTCTTTTTGTAGTATATGGAAGTGGACGTTTCGGACAGTTTGAGGCCCATGGTGATAAAGGGAATATCTTCCCCTACAAGCTAGAAAGAAGCATTCTCAGGAACTTCTTTGTGATGTGTGTACTCAACTAATGGAGTTGAACCTTTCTTTTACAGAACAGTTTTGAAAAACTCTTTTTGTAGAACCTGCAAGTGGATATTTGGATAGATTTAAAGATTTCGTCGGAAACGGGGATGTCTTAATATAAAATCTAGACCGAAGCATTCTCAGAAACTTCTTTGTGATATCTGCATTCAAGTCACAGAGTTGAATATTCCCTTTCACAGAGTAGGTTTGAAACACTCTTTTTGTAGTATCTGGAAGTGGACATTTGGAGCGCCTTGACGCCTACGGTGAAAAGGGAAATATCTTCCCATAAAAACTTGACAGAAGCAATCTCAGAATCTTCTTTGGGATATATGCACGCAGCTAACAGAGTTGAACCTTTCTATTGACAGAGCAGTTTTGAAACAGTCTTTCTGTGGAATCTGCAAGTGGATATTTGGATAGCTTGGAGGATTTCTTTGGAAACGGGACTACGTGTAAAAAGTAGACAGCAGCATCCTCAGAAACATCCTTGTGATGTGTGCATTCAAGTCACAGAGTTGAACATTCCCTTTCGTACAGCAGTTTTGAAACACTCTTTCTGTAGTATCTGGAAGTGAACATTAGGACAGCTTTCAGGTCTATAGTGAGAAAGGATATATCTTCAAATAAAAACTAGACAGAAGCATTCTGATAAACTTGTTTGTGAAGTGTGAACTCAGCTAACAGAGGTGGATCTTTCCTTTGATAGAGCAGTTCTGAAAAACACTTTTTGTTGAATCTGCAAGTGGACATTTGGATAGATTTGAAGATTTCGTTGGAAACGGGAATATCTTCATATCAAATCTAGACAGAAGCATTCTCAGAAACGTCTTTGCGATGTTTGCATTCAACTCATAGAGTTGAACATTCCGTTTCAGAGTGCAGCTTTGAGGCACTCTTTTTGTAGTATGTGCAAGTGGATATTTGGAGCGCTCTGAGGCCTTCGGTGAAAAAGCAAATATCTTCCCATAACCACTAGATGGAAACATTCTCAGAAACTCCTTTATGACGTATGCACTCACCTAACAGAGAAGAACCTTCCTTTTGACAGAGCAGTTTTGATACACTCTTTTTGTAGAATCTGCGAGGGGATATTTGGATAGATTTCAGGATTTCGTTGGAAACGGGAATATCTTCATATAAAATCTCGACAGAAGCATTGCTCAGAAACTGCTCTTTGATGTTTGCATTCAAGTCACAGAGTTGAACATTGCCTTTCATAGAGCAGGTTTCAAGCACTCTTTTTTTAGTATATGGAAGTGGACGTTTCGGACGGTTTGAGGCCCATGGTGATAAAGGAAATATCTTCCCCTACAAGCTAGAAAGAAGCATTCTGTGAAACTTGTTTGTGATGTGTGTACTCAACTAACAGAGTTGAACCTTTCTTTTTACAGAGCAGTTTTGAAACACTCTTTTTGTAGAATCTGCGAGGGGATATTTGGATAGATTTCAGGATTCCGTTGGAAACGGGAATATCTTCATATAAAATCTCGACAGAAGCATTCTCAGAAACTTCTTTTGTGATATCTGCATTCAAGTCACAGAGTTGAATATTCCCTTTCACAGAGTAGGTTTGAAACACTCTTTTTGTAGTATCTGGAAGTGGACATTTGGAGCGCCTTGACACCTACGGTGAAAAGGGAAATATCTTCCCATAAAAACTAGACAGAAGCAATCTCAGAATCTTCTTTGGGATATATGCACGCAGCTAACAGAGTTGAACCTTTCTATTGACAGAGCAGTTTTGAAACAGTCTTTCTGTGGAATCTGTCAAGTGGATATTTGGATAGCTTGGAGGATTTCGTTGGAAACGGGATTACTTATAAAAAGTAGACAGCAGCATCCTCAGAAACTTCTTTGTGATGTGTGCATTCAAGTCACAGAGTTGAACATTCCCTTTCGTACAGCAGTTTTGAAACACTCTTTCTGTAGTATCTGGAAGTGAACATTAGGACAGCTTTCAGGTCTATGGTGAGAAAGGAAATATCTTCAAATAAAAACTAGACAAAAGCATTCTCATAAACTTGTTTGTGATGTGTGAACTCAGCTAACAGAGGTGGATCTTTCTTTTGGTAGACCAGTTCTGAAAAACACTTTTTGTTGAATCTGCAAGTGGACATTTGGATAGATTTGAAGATTTCGTTGGAAACGGGAATATCTTCATATCAAATCTAGACAGAAGCATTCTCAGAAACGTCTTTGTGATATTTGCATTCAACTCATAGAGTTGAACATTCCCTTTCAGAGAGCAGCTTTGAAGCACTCTTTTTGTAGTATGTGCAAGTGGAGATTTGGAGCGCTTTGAGGCCTACGGTGAAAAAGCAAATATCTTCCCATAACCACTAGACAGAAACATTCTCAGAAACTCCTTTATGACGTGTGCACTCACCTAACAGAGAAGAACCTTCCTTTTGACAGAGCAGTTTTGATACACTCTTTTTGTAGAATCTGCAAGTGGATATTTGGATAGCTGTGAAGATTTCGTTGGAAACGGGAATATCTTCCTATAAAATCTAGACAGAAGCATTCTCAGAAACTGCTCTGTGATGTCTGCATTCAAGTCACAGAGTTGAACATTGCCTTTCATAGAGCAGGTTTGAAACGCTCTTTTTGTACTATATGGAAGAGGACGTTTCGAACGGTTTGAGGACCATGGTGATAAAGGGTATATCTTCCCCTACAAGCTAGAAAGAAGCATTCTGTGAAACTTGTTTGTGATGTGTGTACTCAACTAACAGAGTTGAACCTTTCTTTTTACAGAGCAGTTTTGAAACACTCTTTTTGTAGAATCTGCGAGGGGATATTTGGATAGATTTCAAGATTTCGTTGGAAACGGGAATATCTTCATATAAAATCTCGACAGAAGCATTCTCAGAAACTTCTTTGTGATATGTGCATTCAAGTCACAGAGTTGAATATTCCCTTTTACAGAGTAGGTTTGAAACACTCTTTTTGTAGTATCTGGAAGTGAACATTTGGAGCGCCTTGACGCCTACGGTGAAAAGGGAAATATCTTCTCATAAAAAGTAGACAGAAGCAATCTCAGAATCTTCTTTGGGATATATGCACGCAGCTAACAGAGTTGAACCTTTCTATTGACAGAGCAGTTTTGAAACAGTCTTTCTGTGGAATCTGCAAGTGGATATCTGGATAGCTTGGAGGATTTCTTTGGAAACGGGATTACGTATAAAAAGTAGACAGCAGCATCCTCAGAAACTTCTTTGTGATGTGTGCATTCAAGTCACAGAGTTGAACATTCCCTTTCGTACAGCAGTTTTGAAACACTCTTTCTGTAGTATCTGGAAGTGAACATTAGGACAGCTTTCAGGTCTATGGTGAGAAAGGAAACATCTTCAAATAAAAACTAGACAGAAGCATTCTCATAAACTTGTTTGTGATGTGTGAACTCAGCTAACAGAGTTGGATCTTTCTTTTGATAGAGCAGTTCTTAAAAACACGTTTTGTTGAATCTGCAAGTGGACATTTGGATAGATTTGAAGATTTCGTTGGAAACGGGAATATCTTCATGTAAAATCTAGACAGAAGCATTCTCAGAAACGTCTTTGTGATGTTTGCATTCAACTCATAGAGTTGAACATTCCGTTTCAGAGAGCAGCTTTGAGGCACTCTTTTTGTAGTATGTGCAAGGGGATATTTGGAGCGCTGTGAGGCCTACGGTGAAAAAGCAAATATCTTCCCATAACCACTAGACAGAAACATTCTCAGAAACTCCTTTATGACGTATGCACTCACCTAACAGAAAAGAACCTTCCTTTTGACAGAGCAGTTTTGATACACTCTTTTTGTAGAATCTGCAAGTGGATATTTGGATAGCTGTGAAGATTTCGTTGGAAACGGGAATATCTTCCTATAAAATCTAGACAGGAAGCATTCTCAGAAACTGCTCTGTGATGTCTGCATTCAAGTCACAGAGTTGAACATTGCCTTTCCTAGAGCAGGTTTGAAACACTCTTTTTGTAGTATATGAAAGTGGACGTTTCGGACGGTTTGAGGACCATGGTGATAAAGGGAATATCTTCCCCTACAAGCTAGAAAGAAGCATTCTGTGAAACTTGTTTGTGATGTGTGTACTCAACTAACAGAGTTAAACCTTTCTTTTTACAGAACAGTTTTGAAACACTCTTTTTGTAGAATCTGCGAGGGGATATTTGGATAGATTTCAGGATTTCGTTGGAAACGGGAATATCTTCATATAAAATCTCGACAGAAACATTCTCAGAAACTTCTTTGTGATATCTGCATTCAAGTCACAGAGTTGAATATTCCCTTTCACAGAGTAGGTTTGAAACACTCCTTTTGTAGTATCTGGAAGTGGACATTTGGAGCACCTTGACGCCTACGGTGAAAAGGGAAATATCTTCCCATAAAAACTAGACAGAAGCAATCTCAGAATCTTCTTTGGGATATATGCACGCAGCTAACAGAGTTGAACCTTTCTATTGACAGAGCAGTTTTGAAACAGTCTTTCTGTGGAATCTGCAAGTGGATATTTTGATAGCTTGGAGGATTTCGTTGGAAACGGGATTACGTATAAAAAGTAGACAGCAGCATCCTCAGAAACTTCTTTGTGATATGTGCATTCAAGTAACAGAGTTGTTTCGTACAGCATTTTTGAAACACTCTTTCTGTAGTATCTGGGAGTGAACATTAGGACAGCTTTCAGGTCTATGGTGAGAAAGGAAATATCTTCAAATAAAAACTAGACAGAAGCATTCTCATAAACTTGTTTGTAATGTGTGAACTCAGCTAACACACGTGGATCTTTCTTTTGATAGAGCAGTTCTGAAAAACACTTTTTGTTTAATCTGCAAGTGGACATTTGGATAGATTTGAAGATTTCGTTGGAAACGGGAATATCTTCATATCAAATCTAGACAGAAGCATTCTCAGAGACGTCTTTGTGATGTTTGCATTCAACTCATAGAGTTGAACATTCCCTTTCAGAGAGCAGCTTTGAAGCACTCTTTTTGTAGTATGTGCAAGTGGATATTTTGAGCGCTCTGAGGCCTACGGTGAAAAAGCAAATATCTTCCCATAACCACTAGACAGAAACATTCTCAGAAACTCCTTTATGACGTATGTACTCAACTAGCAGAGAAGAACTTTCCTTTTGACAGAGCATTTTTGATACACTCTTTTTGTACTATCTGCAAGTGGATATTTGGATAGCTGTGAAGATTTCGTTGGAAACGGGAATATCTTCCTATAAATTCTGGACAGAAGCATTCTCAGAAACTGCTCTGTGATGTCTGCATTCAAGTCACAGAGTTGAACATTGCCTTTCATAGAGCAGGTTTGAAACACTCTTTTTTTAGTATATGGAAGTGGACGTTTCGGACGGTTTGAGGCCCATGGTGATAAAGGGAATATCTTCCCCTACAAGCTAGAAAGAAGCATTCTGTGAAACTTGTTTGTGATGTGTGTACTCAACTAACAGAGTTGAACCTTTCTTTTTACAGAGCAGTTTTGAAACACTCTTTTTGTAGAATCTGCGAGGGGATATTTGGATAGATTTCAGGATTTCGTTGGAAACGGGAGTATCTTCATATAAAATCTCGACAGAAGCATTCTGAGAAACTTCTTTGTGATATCTGCCTTCAAGTCACAGAGTTGAATATTCCCTTTCACAGAGTAGGTTTGAAACACTCTTTTTGTAGTATCTGGAAGTGGACATTTGGAGCGCCTTGACGCCTACGGTGAAAAGGGAAATATCTTCCCATAAAAACTAGACAGAAGGAATCTCAGAATCAGCTTTGGGATATATGCACGCAGCTAACAGAGTTGAACCTTTCTATTGACAGAGCAGTTTTGAAACAGTCTTTCTGTGGAATCTGCAAGTGGATATTTGGATAGCTTGGAGGATTTCGTTGGAAACGGGATTACGTATAAATAGTAGACAGCCAGCATCCTCAGAAACTTCTTTGTGATGTGTGCATTCAAGTCACAGAGTTGAACATTCCCTTTCGTACAGCAGTTTTGAAACACTCTTTCTGTAGTATCTGGAAGTGAACATTAGGACAGCTTTCAGCTCTATGGTGAGAAAGGAAATATCTTCAAATAAAAACTAGACAGAAGCATTCTCATAAACTTGTTTGTGATGTGTGAACTCAGGCTAACAGAGGTGGATCTTTCTTTTGATAGAGCAGTTCTGAAAAACACTTTTTGTTGAATCTGCAAGTGGACATTTGGATAGATTTGAAGATTTCGTTGGAAACGGGAATATCTTCATATCAAATCTAGACAGAAGCATTCTCAGAAACGTCTTTGTGATGTTAGCATTCAACTCATAGAGTTGAACATTCCCTTTCAGAGAGCAGCTTTGAAGCACTCTTTTTGTAGTATGTGCAAGTGGATATTTGGAGCGCTCTGAGGCCTATGGTGAAAAAGCAAATATCTTCCCATAACCACTAGACAGAAACATTCTCAGAAACTCCTTCATGACGTATGCACTCACCTAACAGAGAAGAACCTTCCTTTTGACAGAGCACTTTTGATACACTCTTTTTGTAGAATCTGCAAGTGGATATTTGGATAGCTGTGAAGATTTCGTTGGAAACGGGAATATCTTCCTATAAAATCTATACAGAAGCATTCTCTGAAACTGCTCTGTGATGTCTGCATTCAAGTCACAGAGTTGAACGTTGCCTTTCATAGAGCAGGTTTCAAACACTCTTTTTTTAGTATATGGAAGTGGACGTTTCGGACGGTTTGAGGACCATGGTGATAAAGGAAATATCTTCCCCTACAAGCTAGAAAGAAGCATTCTGTGAAACTTGTTTATGATGTGTGTACTCAACTAACAGAGTTGAACCTTTCTTTTCACAGAGCAGTTTTGAAACACTCTTTTTGTAGAATCTGCGAGGGGAAATTTGGATAGATTTCAGGATTTCGTTGGAATCGGGAATATCTTCATACAAAATCTCGACAGAAGCATTCTCAGAAACTTCTTTGTGATATGTGCATTCAAGTCACAGAGTTGAATATTCCCTTTCACAGAGTAGGTTTGAAACACTCTTTTTGTAGTATCTGGAAGTGGACATTTGGAGCGCCTTGACACCTACGGTGAAAATGGAAATATCTTCCCATAAAAACTAGACAGAAGCAATCTCAGAATCCTCTTTGAGATATATGGACGCAGCTAACAGTGTTGAACCTTTCTATTGACAGAGCAGTTTTGAAACAGTCTTTCTGTGGTATCTGCAAGTGGATATTTGGATAGCTTGGAGGATTTCTTTGGAAACGGGATTACGTATAAAAAGTAGACAGCAGCATCCTCAGAAACATCCCTTGTGATGTGTGCATTCAAGTCACAGAGTTGAACATTCCCTTTCGTACAGCAGTTTTGAAACACTCTTTCTGTAGTATCTGGAAGTGAACTTTAGGACAGCTTTCAGGTCTATAGTGAGAAAGGATATATCTTCAAATAAAAACTAGACAGAAAGCATTCTCATAAACTTGTTTGTGATGTCTGAACTCAGCTAACAGAGGTGGATCTTTCTTTTGATAGAGCAGTTCTGAAAAACACTTTTTGTTGAATCTGCAAGTGGACATTTGGATAGATTTGAAGATTTCGTTGGAAACGGGAATATCTTCATATCAAATCTAGACAGAGCATTCTCGGAAACGTCTTTGTGATGTTTGCATTCAACTCATAGAGTTGAACATTCCGTTTCAGAGAGCAGCTTTGAGGCACTCTTTTTGTAGTATGTGCAAGTGGATATTTGGAGCGCTCTGAGGCCTTCGGTGAAAAAGCAAATATCTTCCCATAACCACTAGACAGAAACATTCTCAGAAACTCCTTTATGACGTATGCACTCACCTAACAGAGAAGAACCTTCCTTTTGACAGAGCAGTTTTGAGATACTCTTTTTGTAGAATCTGCAAGTGGATATTGGGATAGCTGTGAAGCTTTCGTTGGAAACGGGAATATCTTCCTATAAAATCTAGACAGAAGCATTCTCAGAAACTGCTCTGTGATGTCTGCATTCAAGTCACAGAGTTGAACATTGCCTTTCATAGAGCAGGTTTGAAACGCTCTTTTTGTAGTATATGGAAGTGGAAGTTTCGGACGGTTTGAGGCCCATGGTGATAAAGGGAATATCTTCCCCTACAAGCTAGAAAGAAGCATTCTGTGAAACTTGTTTGTGATGTGTGTACTCAACTAACAGAGTTGAACCTTTCTTTTTACAGAGCAGTTTTGAAACACTCTTTTTGTAGAATCTGCGAGGGGATATTTGGATAGATTTCAGGATTTCATTGGAAACGAGAATATCTTCATATAAAATCTCGACAGAAGCATTCTCAGAAGCTTCTTTGTGATATGTGCATTCAAGTCACAGAGTTGAATATTCCCTTTCACAGAGTAGGTTTGAAACAATCTTTTTGTAGTATCTGGAAGTGGACATTTAGAGCGCCTTGACGCCTACGGTGAAAAGGGAAATATCTTCTCATAAAAAGTAGACAGAAGCAATCTCAGAATCTTCTTTGGGATATATGCACGCAGCTAACAGATTTGAACCTTTCTATTGACAGAGCAGTTTTGAAACAGTCTTTCTGTGGAATCTGCAAGTGGATATTTGGATAGCTTGGAGGATTTCGTTGGAAACGGGATTACGCATAAAAAGTAGACAGCAGCATCCTCCGAAACTTCTTTGTGATGTGTGCATTCAAGTCACAGAGTTGAACATTCCCTTTCGTACAGCAGTTTTCAAACACTCTTTCTGTAGTATCTGGAAGTGAACATTAGGACAGCTTTCAGCTCTATGGTGAGAAAGGAAATATCTTCAAATAAAAACTAGACAGAAGCATTCTCATAAACTTCTTTGTGATGTGTGAACTCAGCTAACAGAGGTGGATCTTTCTTTTGATAGAGCAGTTCTGAAAAACACTTTTTGTTGAATCTGCAAGTGGACATTTGGATAGATTTGAAGATTTCGTTGGAAACGGGAATATCTTCATATCAAATCTAGACAGAAGCATTCTCAGAAAAGTCTTTGTGATGTTTGCATTCAACTCACAGAGTTGAACATTCCCTTTCAGAGAGCAGCTTTGAAGCACTCTTTTTGTAGTATGTGCAAGGGGATATTTGGAGCGCTCTGAGGCCTACGGTGAAAAAGCAAATATCTTCCCATAACCACTAGACAGAAAACATTATCAGAAACTCCTTTATGACGTATGCACTCACCTAACAGAAAAGAACCTTCCTTTTGACAGAGCAGTTTTGATACACTCTTTTTGTAGAATCTGCAAGAGGATATTTGGATAGCTGTGAAGATTTCGTTGGAAACGGGAATATCTTCCTATAAAATCTAGACAGAAGCATTCTCAGAAACTGCTCTGTGATGTCTGCATTCAAGTCACAGAGTTGAACATTGTCTTTCATAGAGCAGGTTTGAAGCGTTCTTTTTGTAGTATATGGAAGTGGACGTTTCGGACGGTTTGAGGCCCATGGTGATAAAGGGAATATCTTCCCCTACAAGCTAGAAAGAAGCATTCTGTGAAACTTGTTTGTGATGTGTGTACTCAACTAACAGAGTTGAACCTTTCTTTTTACAGAGCAGTTTTGAAACACTCTTTTTGTAGAATCTGCGAGGGGATATTTGGATGGATTTCAGGATTTCGTTGGAACGGGAATATCTTCATATAAAATCTCGACAGAAGCATTCTCAGAAACTTCTTTGTGATATGTGCATTCAAGTCACAGAGTTGAATATTCCCTTTCAGAGAGTAGGTTTGAAACACTCTTTTTGTAGTATCTGGAAGTGGACATTTGGAGCGCCTTGACACCTACGGTGAAAAGGGAAATATCTTCCCATAAAAACTAGACAGAAGCAATCTCAGAATCTTCTTTGGGATATATGCACGCAGCTAACAGAGTTGAACCTTTCTATTGACGGAGCAGTTTTGAAACAGTCTTTCTGTGGAATCTGCAAGTGGATATTTGGATAGCTTGGAGGATTTCGTTGGAAACGGGATTACGTATAAAAAGTAGACAGCAGCATCCTCAGAAACTTCTTTGTGATGTGTGCATTCAAGTCACAGAGTTGAACATTCCCTTTCGTACAGCAGTTTTGAAACACTCTTTCTGTAGTATCTGGAAGTGAACATTAGGACAGCTTTCGGGTCTATGGTGAGAAAGGAAATATCTTCAAATAAAAACTAGACAGAAAGCATTCTCATAAACTTGTTTGTGATGTGTGAACTCAGCTAACAGCAGGTGGATCTTTCTTTTGATACAGCAGTTCTGAAAAACACTTTTTGTTGAATCTGCAAGTGGACATTAGGATAGATTTGAAGATTTCGTTGGAAACGGGAATATCTTCATATCAAATCTAGACAGAAGCATTCCCAGAAACGTCTTTGTGATGTTTGCATTCAACTCATAGAGTTGAACATTCCGTTTCAGAGAGCAGCTTTGAAGCACTCTTTTTGTAGTATGTGCAAGGGGATATTTGGAGCACTCTGAGGCCTAAGGTGAAAAAGCAAATATCTTCCCATAACCACTAGACAGAAACATTCTCAGAAACTCCTTTATGACGTATGCACTCAGCTAACAGAGAAGAACCTTCCTTTTGACAGAGCAGTTTTGATACACTCTTTTTGTAGAATCTGCAAGTGGATATTTGGATAGCTGTGAAGATTTCTTTGGAAACGGGAATATCTTCCTATAAAATCTATACAGAAGCATTCTCAGAAACTGCTCTGTGATGTCTGCATTCAAGTCACAGAGTTGAACATTGCCTTTCATAGAGCAGGTTTGAAACGCTCTTTTTGTAGTATATGGAAGTGGACGTTTCGTACGGTTTGAGGCCCATGATGATAAAGGGAATATCTTCCCCTACAAGCTAGAAAGAAGCATTCTGTGAAACTTGTTTGTGATGTGTGTACTCAACTAACAGAGTTGAACCTTTCTTTTCACAGAGCAGTTTTGAAACACTCTTTTTGTAGAATCTGCGAGCGGAAATTTGGATAGATTTCAGGATTTCGTTGGAAACGGGAATATCTTCATACAAAATCTCGACAGAAGCATTCTCAGAAACTTCTTTGTGATATGTGCATTCAAGTCACAGAGTTGAATATTCCCTTTCACAGAGTAGGTTTGAAACACTCTTTTTGTAGTATCTGGAAGTGGACATTTGGAGCGCCTTGACGCCTACGGTGAAAAGGGAAATATCTTCCATAAAAACTAGACAGAAGCAATCTCAGAATCTTCTTTGGGATATATGCATGCAGCTAACAGAGTTGAACCTTTCTATTGACAGAGCAGTTTTGAAACAGTCTTTCTGTGGAATCTGCAAGTGGATATTTGGATAGCTTAGAGGATTTCGTTGGAAACGGGATTACGTATAAAAAGTAGACAGCAGCATCCTCAGAAACTTCTTTGTGATGTGTGCATTCAAGTCACAGAGTTGAACATTCCCTTTCGTACAGCAGTTTTGAAACACTCTTTCTGTAGTATCTGAAAGTGAATATTAGGACAGCTTTCAGGTCTATATTGAGAAAGGAAATATCTTCAAATAAAAACTAGACAGAAGCATTCTCATAAACTTGTTTGTGATGTGTGAACTCAGCTAACCGAGGTGGATCTTTCTTTTGATAGAGCAGTTCTGAAAAACACTTTTTGTTGAATCTGCAAGTGGACATTTGGATAGATTTGAAGATGTCGTTGGAAACGGGAATATCTTCATATCAAATCTAGACGGAAGCATTCTCAGAAACGTCTTTGTGATGTTTGCATTCAACTCATAGAGTTGAACATTCCCTTCCAGAGAGTAGCTTTGAAGCACTCATTTTGTAGCATGTGCAAGTGGACATTTGGAGCGCCCTGAGGCCTACGGGGAAAAAGCAAATATCTTCCCATAACCACTAGACAGAAACATTCTCAGAAACTCCTTTATGACGTATGCACTCACCTAACAGAGAAGAACCTTCCTTTTGACAGAGCAGTTTTGATACACTCTTTTTGTAGAATCTGCAAGTGGATATTTGGATAGGTGTGAAGATTTCGTTGGAAACGGGAATATCTTCCTATAAAATCTAGACAGAAGCATTCTCTGAAACTGCTCTGGGATGTCTGCATTCAAGTCACGGAGTTGAACATTGCCTTTCCTAGAGCAGGTTTGAAACGCTCTTTTTGTAGTATATGGAAGTGGACGTTTCGGACTGTTTGAGGCCCATGGTGATAAAGGGAATATCTTCCCCTACAAGCTAGAAAGAAGCATTCTGTGAAACTTGTTTGTGATGTGTGTACTCAACTAACAGAGTTGAACCTTTCCTTTTACAGAGTAGTTTTGAAACACTCTTTTTGTAGAATCTGCGAGGGGATATTTGGATAGATTTCAGGATTTCGTTGGAAACGGGAGTATCTTCATATAAAATCTCGACAGAAGCATTCTCAGAAACTTCTTTGTGATATCTGCATTCAAGTCACAGAGTTGAATATTCCCTTTCACAGAGTAGGTTTGAAACACTCTTTTTGTAGTATCTGGAAGTGGACATTTTGAGCGCCTTGACGCCTACGGTGAAAAGGGAAATATCTTCTCATAAAAAGTAGACAGAAGCAATCTCAGAATCTTCTTTGGGATATATGCACGCAGCTAACAGAGTTGAACCTTTCTATTGACAGAGCCGTTTTGAAACAGTCTTTCTGTGGAATCTGCAAGTGGATATTTGGATAGCTTGGAGGATTTCGTTGGAAACGGGATTACGTATAAAAAGTAGACAGCAGCATCCTCAGAAACTACTTTGTGATGTGTGCATTCAAGTCACAGAGTTGAACATTCCCTTTCGTACAGCAGTTTTGAAACACTCTTTCTGTAGTATCTGGAAGTGAACATTAGGACAGATTTCAGCTCTATGGTGAGAAAGGAAATATCTTCAAATAAAAACTAGACAGAAGCATTCTCATAAACTTGTTTGTGATGTGTGAACTCAGCTAACAGAGATGGATCTTTCTTTTGATAGAGCGGTTCTGAAAAACACTTTTTGTTGAATCTGCAAGTGGACATTTGGATAGATTTGAAGATTTCGTTGGAAACGGGAATATCTTCATATCAAATCTAGACAGAAGCATTCTCAGAAACGTCTTTGTGATGTTTACATTCAACTCATAGAGTTGAACATTCCCTTGCAGAGAGCAGCTTTGAAGCACTCTTTTTGTAGCATGTGCAAGTGGACATTTGGAGCGCTCTGAGGCCTACGGGGAAAAAGCAAATATCTTCCCATAACCAATAGACAGAAACATTCTCAGAAACTTCTTTATGACGTATGTACTCAACTAGCAGAGAAGAACTTTCCTTTTGACAGAGCATTTTTGATACATTCTTTTTGTAGTATCTGCAAGTGGATATTTGGATAGCTGTGAAGATTTCGTTGGAAACCGGAATATCTTCCTATAAAGTCTGGACAGAAGCATCCTCAGAAACTTCTTTGTGATGTGTGCATTCAAGTCACAGAGTTGAACATTGCCTTTCATAGAGCAGGTTTCAAACACTCTTTTTTTACTATATGGAAGTGGACGTTTCGGACGGTTTGAGGACCATGGTGATAAAGGAAATATCTTCCCCTACAAGCTAGAAAGAAGCATTCTGTGAAACTTGTTTGTGATGTGTGTACTCAACTAATAGATTTGAACCTTTCTTTTTACAGAGCAGTTTTGAAACACTCTTTTTGTAGAATCTGCGAGGGGATATTTGGATAGATTTCAGGATTTCGTTGGAAACGGGAATATCTTCATATAAAATCTCGACAGAAGCATTCTCAGAAACTTCTTTGTGATATGTGCATTCAAGTCACAGAGTTCAATGTTCCCTTTCACAGAGTAGGTTTGAAACACTCTTTTTGTAGTATCTGGAAGTGGACATTTGGAGCGCCTTGACGCCTACGGTGAAAAGGGCAAATATCTTCTCATAAAAAGTAGACAGAAGCAATCTCAGAATCTTCTTTGGGATATATGTACGCAGCTAACAGAGTTGAACCTTTCTATTGACAGAGCAGTTTTGAAACAGTCTTTCTGTGGAAACTGCAAGTGGATATTTGGATAGCTTGGAGGATTTCGTTGGAAACGGGATTACGTATAAAAAGTAGACAGCAGCATCCTCAGTAAACTTCTTTGTGATGTGTGCATTCAAGTCACAGAGTTGAACATTCCCTTTCGTACAGCAGTTTTGAAACACTCTTTCTGTAGTATCTGGAAGTGAACATTAGGACAGCTTTCAGGACTATGGTGAGAAAGGAAATATCTTCAAATAAAAACTAGACAGAAGCATTCTCATAAACTTGTTTGTGATGTGTGAACTCAGCTAACAGAGGTGGATCTTTGTTTTGATAGAGCAGTTCTGAAAAACACTTTTTGTTGAATCTGCAAGTGGACATTTGGATAGATTTGAAGATTTCGTTGGAAACGGGAATATCTTCATATCAAATCTAGACAGAAGCATTCTCAGAAACGGCTTTGTGATGTTTGCATTCAACTCATAGAGTTGAACATTCCCTTTCAGAGTGCAGCTTTGAAGAACTCTTTTTGTGGTATGTGCAAGTGGACAATTGGAGCGCTTTGAGGCCTACGGGGAAAAAGCAAATATCTCCCATAACCACTAGACAGAAACATTCTCAGAAACTCCTTTATGACGTATGCACTCACCTAACAGAAAAGAACCTTCCTTTTCACAGAGCAGTTTTGATACACTCTTTTTGTAGAATCTGCAAGTGGATATTTGGATAGCTGTGAAGATTTCGTTGGAAACGGGAATATCTTCCTATAAAATCTAGACAGAAGCATTCTCAGAAACTGCTCTGTGATGTCTGCATTCAAGTCACAGAGTTGAACATTGCCTTTCATAGAGCAGGTTTGGAACGCTCTTTTTGTAGTATATGGAACCGGATGTTTCCGACGGTTGGAGGCCCATGGTGATAAAGGGAATATCTTCCCCTACAAGCTAGAAAGAAGCATTGTGTGAAACTTATTTGTGATGTGTGTACTCAACTAACAGAGTTGAACCTTTCTTTTTACAGAGCAGTTTTGAAACACTCTTTTTGTAGAATCTGCGAGGGGATATTTGGATACATTTCAGGATTTCGTTGGAAACGGGAATATCTTCATATAAAATCCTCGACAGAAGCATTCTCAGAAACTTCTTTGTGATATGTGCATTCAAGTCACAGAGTTGAATATTCGCTTTCACAGAGTAGGTTTGAAACACTCTTTTTGTAGTATCTGGAAGTGGACATTTGGAGCGCCTTGATGCCTACGGTGAAAAGGGAAATATCTTCCCATAAAAACTAGACAGAAGCAATCTCAGAATCTTCTTTGGGATATATGCACGCAGCTAACAGAGTTGAACCTTTCTATTGACAGAGCAGTTTTGAAACAGTCTTTCTGTGGAATCTGCAAGTGAATATTTGGATAGCTTGGAGGATTTCGTTGGAAACGGGATTAAGTATAAAAAGTAGACAGCAGCATCCTCAGAAACATCCTTGTGATGTGTGCATTCAAGTCACAGAGTTGAACATTCCCTTTCGTACAGCAGTTTTGAAACACTCTTTCTGTAGTATCTGGAAGTGAAATTTAGGAGAGCTTTCAGGTCTATAGTGAGAAAGGATATATCTTCAAATAAAAACTAGACAGAAGCATTCTCATAAACTTGTTTGTGATGTGTGAACTCAGCTAACAGAGGTGGATCTTTCTTTTGATAGAGCACTTCTGAAAAACACTTTTTGTTGAATCTGCAAGTGGACATTTGGATAGATTTGAAGATTTCGTTGGAAACGGGAATATCTTCATATCAAATCTAGACAGAAGCATTCTCAGAAACGTCTTTGTGATGTTTGCATTCAACTCATAGAGTTGAACATTCTCTTTCAGAGAGCAGCTTTGAAGCACTCTTTTTGTAGTATGTGCAAGTGGATATTTGGAGCGCTCTGAGGCCTACGGTGGAAAAGCAAATATCTTCCCATAACCACTAGACAGAAACATTCTCAGAAACTCCTTTATGACGTATGCACTCACCTAACAGAGAAGAACCTTCCTTTTGACAGAGCGGTTTTGATACACTCTTTTTGTAGAATCTGCAAGTGGATATTTGGATAGCTGTGAAGATTTCGTTGGAAACGAGAATATCTTCCTATAAAATCTAGACAGAAGCATTCTCAGAAACTGCTCTGTGATGTCTGCATTCAAGTCACAGAGTTGAACATTGCCGTTCATAGAGCAGGTTTGAAACACTCTTTTTGTAGTATATGGAAGTGGACGTTTCGGACGGTTTGAGGCCCATGGTGATAAAGGGAATATCTTCCCCTACAAGCTAGAAAAGAAGCATTCTGTGAAACTTGTTTGTGATGTGTGTACTCAACTAACAGAGTTGAACCTTTCTTTTTACAGAGCAGTTTTGAAACCCTCTTTTTGTAGAATCTGCGAGGGGATATTTGGATAGATTTCAGGATTTCGTTGGAAACGGGAATATCTTCATATAAAATCTCGACAGAAGCATTCTCAGAAACTTCTTTGTGATATGTGCATTCAAGTCACAGAGTTGAATATTCCCTTTCACAGACTAGGTTTGAAAAACCCTTTTTGTAGTAGTCTGGAAGTGGACATTTGGAGCGCCTTGATGCCTACGGTGAAAAGGGAAATATCTTCCCATAAAAACTAGACAGAAGCAATCTCAGAATCTTCTTTGGGATATATGCACGCAGCTAACAGAGTTGAACCTTTCTATTCACAGAGCAGTTTTGAAACAGTCTTTCTGTGGAATCTGCAAGTGGATATTTGGATAGCTTGGAGGATTTCGTTGGAAACGGGATTACGTATAAAAAGTAGACAGCAGCATCCTCAGAAACTTCTTTGTGATCTGTGCATTCAAGTCACAGAGTTGAACATTCCCTTTCGTACAGCAGTTTTGAAACACTCTTTCTGTAGTAACTGGAAGTGAACATTAGGACAGCTTTCAGGTCTATGGTGAGAAAGGAAATATCTTCAAATAAAAACTAGACAGAAGCATTCTCATAAACTTGTTTGTGATGTGTGAACTCAGCTAACAGAGGTGGATCTTTCTTTTGATAGAGCAGTTCTGAAAAACACTTTTTGTTGAATCTGCAAGTGGACATTTGAATAGATTTGAAGATTTCGTTGGAAACGGGAATATCTTCATATCAAATCTAGTCAGAAGCATTCTCAGAAACGTCGTTGTGATGTTTGCATTCAACTCATAGAGTTGAACATTCCGATTCAGAGAGCAGCTTTGAGGCACTCTTTTTGTAGTATGTGCAAGTGGATATTTGGAGCGCTCTGAGGCCTTCGGTGAAAAAGCAAATATCTTCCCATAACCACTAGATGGAAACATTCTCAGAAACTCGTTTATGACGTATGCACTCACCTAACAGAGAAGAACCTTCCATTTGACAGAGCAGTTTTGATACACTCTTTTTGTAGAATCTGCAAGTGGATATTTGGATAGCTGTGAAGATTTTGCTGGAAACGGGAATATCTTCCTATAAAATACTAGACAGAAGCATTCTCAGAAACTGCTCTGTGATGTCTGCATTCAAGTCACAGAGTTGAACATTGCCTTTCCTAGAGCAGGTTTGAAACGCTCTTTTTGTAGTATATGGAAGTGGACGTTTCGGACGGTTTGAGGACCATGGTGATAAAGGGAATATCTTCCCCTACAAGCTAGAAAGAAGCATTCTGTGAAACATGTTTGTGATGCGTGTACTCAACTAACAGAGTTGAACCTTTCTTTTTACAGAGCAGTTTTGAAACACTCTTTTTGTAGAATCTGCGAGGGGATATTTGGATAGATTTCAGGATTTCGTTGGAAACGGGAATATCTTCATATAAAATCTCGACAGAAGCATTCTCAGAAACTTCTTTGTGATATGTGCATTCAAGTCACAGAGTTGAATATTCCGTTTCACAGAGTAGGTTTGAAACACTCTTTTTGTAGTATCTGGAAGTGGACATTTGGAGCGCCTTGACACCTACGGTGAAAAGGGAAATATCTTCCCATAAAAACTAGACAGAAGCAATCTCAGAATCTTCTTTGGGATATATGCACGCAGCTAATAGAGTTGAACCTTTCTATTGACAGAGCAGTTTTGAAACAGTCTTTCTGTGGAATCTGCAAGTGGATATTTGGATAGCTTGGAGGATTTCGTAGGAAACGGGATTACGTATAGAAAGTAGACAGCAGCATCCTCAGAAACTTCTTTGTGATGTGTGCATTCAAGTCACAGAGTTGAACATTCCCTTTCGTACAGCAGTTTTGAAACACTCTTTCTGTAATATCTGGAAGTGAACATTAGGACAGCTTTCAGCTCTATGGTGAGAAAGGAAATATCTTCAAATAAAAACTAGACAGAAAGCATTCTCAAGAACTTGTTTGTGATGTGTGAACTCAGCTAACAGAGGTGGATGTTTCTTTTGATAGAGCAGTTCTGAAAAACACGTTTTGTTGAATCTGCAAGTGGACATTTGGATAGATATGAAGATTTCGTTGGAAACGGGAATATCTTCATATCAAATCTAGACAGAGCATTCTCAGAAACGTCTTTGTGATGTTTGCATTCAACTCATAGAGTTGAACATTCCCTTTCAGAGAGCAGCTTTGAAGCACTCTTTTTGTAGTATGTGCAAGGGGGTATTTGGAGCGCTCTGAGGCCTAAGGTGAAAAAGCAAATATCTTCCCATAACCACTAGACAGAAACATTCTCAGAAACTCCTTTATGACGTGTGCACTCACCTAACAGAGAAGAACCTTCCTTTTGACAGAGCATTTTTGATACACACTTTTTGTAGAATCTGCAAGTGGATATTTGGATAGCTGTGAAGATTTCGTTGGAAACGGGAATATCTTCCTATAAAATCTAGACAGAAGCATTCTCAGAAACTGCTCTGTGATGTCTGCATTCAAGTCACAGAGTTGAACTCTGCCTTTCCTAGAGCAGGTTTGAAACGCTCTTTTTGTAGTATATGGAAGTGGACGTTTCGGACGGTTTGAGGCCCATGGTGATAAAGGGAATATCTTCCCCTACAAGCTAGAAAGAAGCATTCTGTGAAACTTGTTTGTGATGTGTGTACTCAACTAACAGAGTTGAACCTTTCTTTTTACAGAGCAGTTTTGAAACACTCTTTTTGTAGAATATGCGAGGGGATATTTGGATAGATTTCAGGATTTCGTTGGAAACGGGAATATCTTCATATAAAATCTCGACAGAAGACCGAAGCATTCTCAGAAACTTCATTGTGATATCTGCATTGAAGTCACAGACTTGAATACTCCCTTTCACAGAGTAGGTTTGAAACACTCTTTTTGTAGTATCTGGAATTGGACATTTGGATCGCTTTGACGCCTATTGTGAAAAAGGAAATATCTTCCCCTAAAAACTAGACAGAAGCAATCTCAGAATCTTCTTTGGGATATATGCACGCAGCTAACAGAGTTGAACCTTTCTATTGACAGAGCAGTTTAGAAACAGTCTTTCTGTGGAATCTGCAAGTGGATATTTGGATAGATTGGAGGATTTCTTTGGAAACGGGATTACGTATAAAAAGTAGACAGCAGCATCCTCAGAAACTTCTTTGTGATGTGTGCATTCAAGTCACAGAGTTGAACATTCCCTTTCGTACAGCAGTTTTGAAACGCTCTTTCTGTAGTATCTGGAAGTGAACATTAGGACAGCTTTCAGGTCTATGGTGAGAAAGGAAATATCTTCAAATAAAAACTAGACAGAAGCATTCTCATAAACTTGTTTGTGATGTGTGAACTCAGCTAACAGAGGTGGATCTTTCTTTTGATAGAGCAGTTCTGAAAAACACTTTTTGTTGAATCTGCAGTGGACATTTGGATAGATTTGAAGATTTCGTTGGAAACGGGAATATCTTCATATCAAATCTAGACAGAAGCATTCTCAGAAACGTCTTTGTGATGTTGGCATTCAACTCATAGAGTTGAACATTCCGTTTCAGAGAGCAGCTTTGAGGCACTCTTTTTGTAGTATGTGCAAGGGGATATATGGAGCGCTCTGAGGCCTAAGGTGAAAAAGCAAATATCTTCCCATAACCACTAGACAGAAACATTCTCAGAAACTCCTTTATGACGTTTGTACTCAACTAACAGAGAAGAACCTTCCTTTTGACAGAGCAGTTTTGATACACTCTTTTTGTAGAATCTGCAAGTGGATATTTGGATAGCTGTGAAGATTTCGTTGGAAACGGGAATATCTTCCTATAAAATCTAGACAGAAGCATTCTCAGAAACTGCTCTGTGATGTCTGCATTCAAGTCACAGAGTTGAACATTGCCTTTCATAGAGCAGTTTTGAAATGCTCTTTTTGTAGTATATGGAAGTGGACGTTTCGGACGGTTTGAGGCCCATGGTGATAAAGGAAATATCTTCGCTACAAGCTAGAAAGAAGCATTCTGTGAAACTTGTTTGTGATGTGTGTACTCAACTAACAGAGTTGAACCTTTCTTTTTACAGAGCAGTTTTGAGACACTCTTTTTGTAGAATCTGCGAGGGGATATTTGGATAGATTTCAGGATTTCGTTGGAACGGGAATATCTTCATATAAAATCTCGACAGAAGCATTCTCAGAAACTTCTTTGTGATATCTGCCTTTAAGTCACAGAGTTGAATATTCCCTTTCACAGAGTAGGTTTGAAACACTCTTTTTGTAGTATCTGGAAGTGGACATTTGGAGCCCCTTGAGACCTACGGTGAAAAGGGAAATATCTTCCCATAAAAACAAGACAGAAGCAATCTCAGAATTTTCTTTGGGATATATGCACACAGCTAACAGAGTTGAACTTTTCTATTGACATAGCAGTTTTGAAACAGTCTTTCTGTGGAATATGCAAGTGGATATTTGGATAGCTTGGAGGATTTCGTTGGAAACGGGATTATGTATAAAAAGTAGACAGCAGCATCCTCAGAAACATCTTTGTGATGTGTGCATTCAAGTCACAGAGTTGAACATTCCCTTTCGTACAGCAGTTTTGAAACACTCTTTCTGTAGTATCTGGAAGTGAACATTAGGACAGCTTTCAGGTCTATGGTGAGAAAGGAAATATCTTCAAATAAAAACTAGACAGAAGCATTCTCATAAACTTGTTTGTGATGTGTGAACTCAGCTAACAGAGGTGGATCTTTCTTTTGATAGAGCAGTTCTGAAAAACACTTTTTGTTGAATCTGCAAGTCGACATTTGGATAGATTTGAAGATTTCGTTGGAAACGGGAATATCTTCATATCAAATCTAGACAGAAGCATTCTCAGAAACGTCTTTGCGATGTTTGCATTCAACTCATAGAGTTGAACATTCCGTTTCAGAGAGCAGCTGTGAGGCACTCTTTTTGTAGTATGTGCAAGTGGATATTTGGAGCGCTCTGAGGCCTACGGTGAAAAAGCAAATATCTTCCCATAACCACTACACAGAAACATTCTCAGAAACTCCTTTATGACGTATGTACTCAACTAACAGAGAAGAACCTTCCTTTTGACAGAGTAGTTTTGATACACTCTTTTTGTAGAATCTGCAAGTGGATATTTGGATAGCTGTGAAGATTTCGTTGGAAACGGGAATATCTTCCTATAAAATCTAGACAGAAGCATTCTCAGAAACTGCTATCTGATGTCTGCATTCAAGTCACAGAGTTGAACATTGCTTTTCATAGAGCAGGTTTGAAACGCTCTTTTTGTAGTATATGGAAGTAGACGTTTCGGACGGTTTGAGGCCCATGGTGATAAAGGGAATATCTTCCCCTACAAGCTAGAAAGAAGCATTCTGTGAAACTTGTTTGTGATGTGTGTACTCAACTAACAGAGTTGAACCTTTCTTTTTATAGAGCAGTTTTGAAACACTCTTTTTGTAGAATCTGCGAGGGGATATTTGGATAGATTTCAGGATTTCGTTGGAAAGGGGAATATCTTCATATAAAATCTCGACAGAAGCATTCTCAGAAAGCTTCTTTGTGATATGTGCATTCAAGTCACAGAGTTCAATATTCCCTTTCACAGAGTAGGTTTGAAACACTCTTTTTGTAGTATCTGGAAGTGGACATTTGGAGCGCCTTGACGCCTACGGTGAAAAGGGAAATATCTTCTCATAAAAAGTAGACAGAAGCAATCTCAGAATCTTCTTTGGGATATATGCACGCAGCTAACAGAGTTGAACCTTTCTATTGACAGAGCAGTTTTGAAACAGTCTTTCTGTGGAATCTGCAAGTGGATATTTGGATAGCTTGGAGGATTTCGTTGGAAATGGGATTAAGTATAAAAAGTAGACAGCAGCATCCTCAGAATCTTCTTTGTGATGTGTGCATTCAAGTCACAGAGTTGAACATTCCCTTTCGTACAGCAGTTTTGAAACACTCTTTCTGTAGTATCTGGGAGTGAACATTAGGACAGCTTTCAGGTCTATGGTTAGAAAGGAAATATCTTCAAATAAAAACTAGACAGAAGCATTCTCATAAACTTGTTTGTGATGTCTGAACTCAGCTAACAGAGGTGGATCTTTCTTTTGATAGAGCAGTTCTGAAAAACACTTTTTGTTGAATCTGCAAGTGGACATTTGGATAGATTTGAAGATTTCGTTGGAAACGGGAATATCTTCATATCACATCTAGACAGAAGCATTCTCAGAAACGTCTTTGCGATGTTTGCATTCAACTCATAGAGTTGAACATTCCCTTTGAGAGAGCAGATTTGAAGCACTCTTTTTGTAGCATGTGCAAGTGGACATTTGGAGCGCCCTGAGGCCTACGGGGAAAAAGCAAATATCTTCCCATAACCACTAGACAGAAACATTCTCAGAAACTTCTTTATGACGTATGTACTCAACTAGCAGAGAAGAACTTTCCTTTTGACAGAGCATTTTTGATACACTCTTTTTGTACTATCTGCAAGTGGATATTTGGATATCTGTGAAGATTTCGTTGGAAACGGGAATATCTTCCTATAAAGTCTGGACAGAAGCATTCTCAGAAACTGCTCTGTGATGTCTGCATTCAAGTCACAGAGTTGAACATTGCCTTTCATAGAGCAGGTTTGAAACGCTCTTTTTGTAGTATATGGAAGTGGACGTTTCGGACGGTTTGAGGCACATGGTGATAAAGGGAATATCTTCCCCTACAAGCTAGAAAGAAGCATTCTGTGAAACTTGTTTGTGTGTACTCAACTAACAGAGTTGAACCTTTCTTTTCACAGAGCAGTTTTGAAACACTCTTTTTGTAGAATCTGCGAGGGGATATTTGGATACATTTCAGGATTTCGTTGGAAACGGGAATATCTTCATATAAAATCTCGACAGAAGCATTCTCAGAAACTTCCTTGTGATATGTGCATTCAAGTCACAGAGTTGAATATTCCCTTTCACAGAGGAGGTTTGAAACACTCTTTTTGTAGTATCTGGAAGTGGACATTTGGAGCGCCTTGACGCCCACGGTGAAAAGGGAAATATCTTCCCATAAAAACTAGACAGAAGCAATCTCAGAATCTTCTTCGGGATATATGCACGCAGCTAACAGAGTTGAACCTTTCTATTGACAGAGCAGTTTTGAAACAGTCTTTCTGTGGAATCTGCAAGTGGATATTTGGATAGCTTGGAGGATTTCGTTGGAAACGGGATTACGTATAAAAGTAGACAGCAGCATCCTCAGAAACTTCTTTGTGATGTGTGCATTCAAGTCACAAAGTTGAACATTCCCTTTCGTACAGCAGTTTTGAAACACTCTTTCTGTAGTATCTGGAAGTGAACATTAGGACAGCTTTCAGGTCTATGATGAGAAAGGAAATATCTTCAAATAAAAACTAGACAGAAGCATTCTCATAAACTTGTTTGTGATGTGTGAACTCATCTAACAGGGGTGGATCTTTCTTTTGATAGAGCAGTTCTGAAAAACACTTTTTGTTGAATCTGCAAGTGGACATTTGGATAGATTTGAAGATTTCGTTGGAAACGGGAATATCTTCATATCAAATCTAGACAGAAGCATTCTCAGAAACGTCTTTGTGATGTTTGCATTCAACTCATAGAGTTGAACATTCCGTTTCAGAGAGCAGCTTTGAAGCACTCTTTTTGTAGTATGTGCAAGTGGATATTTGGAGCGCTCTTAGGCCTACGGGGAAAAAGCAAATATCTTCCCATAACCACTAGACAGAAACATTCTGAGAAACTCCTTTATGACGTATGCACTCACCTAACCGAGAAGAACCTTCCTTTTGACAGAGCAGTTTTGATACACTCTTTTTGTAGAATCTGCAAGTGGATATTTGGATAGCTGTGAAGATTTCGTTGGAAACGGGAATATCTTCCTATAAAATCTAGACAGAAGCATTCTCAGAAACTGCTCTGTGATGTCTGCATTCAAGTCACAGAGTTGAACATTGCCTTTCATAGAGCAGGTTTGAAACCCTCTTTTTGTAGTATATGGAAGTGGACGTTTCGGAAGGTTTGAGGCCCATGTTGATAAAGGGAATATCTTCCCCTACAAGCTAGAAAGAAGCATTCTGTGAAACTTGTTTGTGATGTTTGTACTCAACTAACAGAGTTGAACCTTTCTTTTTACAGAGCAGTTTTGAAACACTCTTTTTGTAGAATCTGCGAGGGGATATTTGGATACATTTCAGGATTTCGTTGGAAACGGGAATATCTTCATATAAAATCTCGACAGAAGCATTCTCAGAAACTTCTTTGTGATATGTGCATTCAAGTCACAGAGTTGAATATTCCCTTTCACAGAGTAGGTTTGAAACACTGTTTTTGTAGTATCTGGAAGTGGACATTTGGAGCGCCTTGACACCTACGGTGAAAAGGGAAATATCTTCCCATAAAAACTAGACAGAAGCAATCTCAGAATCTTCTTTGGGATATATGCACGCAGCTAACAGAGTTGAACCTTTCTATTGACAGAGCAGTTTTGAAACAGTCTTTCTGTGGAATCTGTAAGTGGATATTTGGATAGCTTGGAGGATTTCGTTGGTAACGGGATTACGTATAAAAATTAGACAGCAGCATCCTCCGAAACTTCTTTGTGATGTGTGCATTGAAGTCACAGAGTTGAACATTCCCTTTCGTACAGCAGTTTTGAAACACTCTTTCTGTAGTATCTGGAAGTGAACATTAGGACAGCTTTCAGCTCTATGGTGAGAAAGGAAATATCTTCAAATAAAAACTAGACAGAAGCATTCTCATAAACTTGTTCGTGATGTGTGAACTCAGCTAACACACGTGGATCTTTCTTTTGATAGAGCAGTTCTGAAAAACACTTTTTGTTGAATCTGCAAGAGGACATTTGGATAGATTTGAAGATTTCGTTGGAAACGGGAGTATCTTCATATCAAATCTAGACAGAAGCATTCTCAGAAACGTCTTTGTGATGTTTGCATTCATCTCATAGAGTTGAACATTCCGTTTCAGAGAGCAGGTTTGAAGCACTCTTTTTGTAGTATGTGCAAGTGGATATTTGGAGCGCTCTGAGGCCTACGGTGAAAAAGCAAATATCTTCCCATAACCACTAGACAGAAACATTCTCAGAAACTCCTTTATGACGTATGTACTCAACTGACAGAGAAGAACTTTCCTTTTGACGGAGCATTTTTGATACACTCTTTTTGTACTGTCTGCAAGTGGATATTTGGATAGCTGTGAAGATTTCGTTGGAAACGGGAATATCTTCCTATAAAACCTAGACAGAAGCATTCTCAGAAACTGCTCTGTGATGTCTGCATTCAAGTCACAGAGTTGAACATTGCCTTTCATAGAGCAGGTTTGAAACGCTCTTTTTGTAGTATATTGAAGTGGACTTTTCGGACGGTTTGAGGCCCATGGTGATAAAGGGAATATCTTCCCCTACAAGCTAGAAAGAAGCATTCTGTGAAACTTGTTTGTGATGTGTGTACTCAACTAACAGAGTTGAACCTTTCTTTTTACAGAGCAGTTTTGAAACACTCTTTTTGTAGAATCTGCGAGGGGATATTTGGATAGATTTCAGGATTTCGTTGGAAATGGGAATATCTTCATATAAAATCTCGACAGAAAGCATTCTCAGAAACTTCCTTGTGATATGTGCATTCAAGTCACAGAGTTGAATATTCCCTTTCACAGAGTAGGTTTGAAACACTCTTTTTGTAGTATCTGGAAGTGGACATTTGGAGCGCCTTGACGCCTACGGTGAAAAGGGAAATATCTTCCCATAAAAATTAGACAGAAGCAATCTCAGAATCTTCTTTGGGATATATGCACGCAGCTAACAGAGTTGAACCTTTCTATTGACAGAACAGTTTTGAAACAGTCTTTCTGTGGAATCTGCAAGTGGATATTTGGATAGCTTGGAGGATTTCGTTGGAAACGGGATTACGTAGAAAAAGTAGACAGCAGCATCCTCAGAAACTTCTTTCTGATGTGTGCATTCAAGTCACAGAGTTGAACATTCCCTTTCGTACAGCAGTTTTGAAACACTCTTTCTGTAGTATCTGGAAGTGAACATTAGGACAGCTTTCAGCTCTATGGTGAGAAAGGAAATATCTTCAAATAAAAACTAGACAGAAGCATTCTCATAAACTTGTTTGTGATGTGTGAACTCAGCTAACAGAGGTGGATCTTTCTTTTGATAGAGCAGTTCTGAAAAACACTTTTTGTTGAATCTGCAAGTGGACATTTGGATAGATTTGAAGATTTCGTTGGAAACGGGAATATCTTCATATCCAATCTAGACAGAAGCATTCTCAGAAACGTCTTTGTGATGTTTGCATTCAACTCATAGAGTTGAACATTCCGTTTCAGAGAGCAGCTTTGAGGCACTCTTTTTGTAGTATGTGCAAGTGGATATTTGGAGCGCTCTGAGGCCTACGGTGAAAAAGCAAATATCTTCCCATAACCACTAGACAGAAAACATTCTCAGAAACTCCTTTATGACGTATGCACTCACCTAACAGAGAAGAACCTTCCTTTTGACAGAGCAGTTTTGATACACTCTTTTTGTAGAATCTGCAAGTGGATATTTGGATACCTGTGAAGATTTCATTGGAAACGGGAATATCTTCCTATAAAATCTAGACAGAAGCATTCTCAGAAACTGCTCTGTGATGTCTGCATTCAAGTCACAGAGTTGAACATTGCCTTTCATAGAGCAGGTTTGAAACGCTCTTTTTGTAGTATATGGAAGTGGATGTTTCGGACGGTTGGAGGCCCATGGTGATAAAGGGAATATTCTTCCTCTACAAGCTAGAAAGAAGCATTCTGTGAAACTTGTTTGTGATGTGTGTACTCAACTAACAGAGTTGAACCTTTCTTTTACAGAGCAGTTTTGAAACACTCTTTTTGTAGAATCTGCGAGGGGATATTTGGATAGATTTCAGGATTTCGTTGGAAACGGGAATATCTTCATATAAAATCTCGACAGAAGCATTCTCAGAAGCTTCTTTGTGATATGTGCATTCAAGTCACAGAGTTGAATATTCCCTTTCACAGAGTAGGTTTGAAACACTCTTTTTGTAGTATCTGGAAGTGGACATTTGGAGCACCTTGACGCCTACGGTGAAAAGGGAAATATCTTCTCATGAAAAGTAGACAGAAGCAATCTCAGAATCTTCTTTGGGATATATGCACGCAGCTAACAGAGTTGAACCTTTCTATTGACAGAGCAGTTTTGAAACTGTCTTTCTGTGGAATCTGCAAGTGGATATTTGGATACCTTGGAGGATTTCGTTGGAAACGGGATTACGTATAAAAAGTAGACAGCAGCATCCTCAGAAACTTCTTTTTGATGTGTGCATTCAAGTCACAGAGTTGAACATTCCCTTTCATACAGCAGTTTTGAAACACTCTTTCTGTAGTATCTGGAAGTGAACATTAGGACAGCTTTCAGGTCTATGGTGAGAAAGGAAATATCTTCAAATAAAAACTAGACAGAAGCATTCTCATAAACTTGTTTGTTATGTGTGAACTCAGCTAACACACGTGGATCTTTCTTTTGATAGAGCAGTTCTGAAAAACAATTTTTGTTGAATCTGCAAGTGGACATTTGGATAGATTTGAAGATTTCGTTGGAAACGGGAATATCTTCATATCAAATCTAGACAGAAGCATTCTCAGAAACGTCTTTGTGATGTTTGCATTCAACTCATAGAGTTGAACATTCCCTTTCAGAGAGCAGCTTTGAAGCACTCTTTTTGTAGTATGTGCAAGTGGATATTTTGAGCGCTCTGAGGCCTACGGTGAAAAAGCAAATATCTTCCCATAACCACTAGACAGAAGCATTCTCAGAAACTGCTCTGTGATGTCTGCATTCAACTCACGGAGTTGAACATTGCCTTTCATAGAGCAGGTTTGAAACGCTCTTTTTGTAGTATATGGAAGTGGACGTTTCGGACGGTTTGAGGCCCATGGTGATAAAGGGAATATCTTCCCCTACAAGCTAGAAAGAAGCATTCTGTGAAACTTGTTTGTGATGTGTGTACTCAACTAACAGAGTTGAACCTTTCTTTTTACAGAGCAGTTTTGAAACACTCTTTTTGTAGAATCTGCGAGGGGATATTTGGATAGATTTCAGGATTTCGTTGGAAACGGGAATACCTTCATATAAAATCTCGACAGAAGCATTCTCAGAAACTTCCTTGTGATATGTGCATTCAAGTCACAGAGTTGAATATTCCCTTTCACAGAGTAGGTTTGAAACACTCTTTTTGTAGTATCTGGAAGTGGACATTTGGAGCGCCTTGATGCCTACGGTGAAAAGGGAAATATCTTCCCATAAAAACTAGACAGAAGCAACCTCAGAATGTTCTTTGGGATGTATGCACGCAGCTAACAGAGTTGAACCTTTCTATTGACAGAGCGGTTTTGAAACAGTCTTTTTGTGGAATCTGCAAGTGGATATTTGGATAGCTTGGAGGATTTCGTTGGAAACGGGATTACGTATAAAAAGTAGACAGCAGCATCCTCAGAACCTTCTTTGTGATGTGTGCATTCAAGTCACAGAGTTGAACATTCCCTTTCGTACAGCAGTTTTCAAACACTCTTTCTGTAGTATCTGGAAGTGAACATTAGGACAGCTTTCAGCTCTATGGTGAGAAAGGAAATATCTTCAAATAAAAACTAGACAGAAGCATTGTCATAAACATGTTTGTGATGTGTGAACTCAGCTAACAGAGGTGGATCTTTCTTTTGATAGAGCAGTTCTGAAAAACACTTTTTGTTGAATCTGGAAGTGGACATTTGGATAGATTTGAAGATTTCGTTGGAAACGGGAATATCTTCATATCAAATCTAGACAGAAGCATACTCAGAAACGTCTTTGTGATGTTTGCATTCAACTCATAGAGTTGAACATTCCGTTTCAGAGAGCAGCTTTGAAGCACTCTTTTTGTAGTATGTGCAAGTGGATATTTGGAGCGCTCTGAGGCCTACGGTGAAAAAGCAAATATCTTCCCATAACCACTAGACAGAAACATTCTCAGAAACTCCTTTATGACGTATGCACTCACCTAACAGAGAAGAACCTTCCTTTTGACAGAGCACTTTTGATACACTCTTTTTGTGGAATCTGACAGTGGATATTTGGATAGCTGTGAAGATTTCGTTGGAAACGGGAATATCTTCCTATAAAATCTAGACAGAAGGATTCTCAGAAACTGCTCTGTGATGTCTGCATTCAAGTCACAGAGTTGAACATTGCCTTTCATAGAGCATGTTTGAAAGGCTCTTTTTGTAGTATATGGAAGTGGACGTTTCGGACGGTTTGAGGCCCATGGTGATAAAGGGAATATCTTCCCCTACAAGCTAGAAAGAAGCATTCTGTGAAACTTGTTTGTGATGTGTGTACTCAACTAACAGAGTTGAACCTTTCTTTTTACAGAGCAGTTTTGAAACACTCTTTTTGTAGAATCTGCGAGGGGATATTTGGATAGATTTCAGGATTTCGTTGTAAACGGGAATATCTTCATATAAAATCTCGACAGAAGCATTCTCAGAAACTTCTTTGTGATATCTGCCTTCAAGTCACAGAGTTGAATATTCCCTTTCACAGAGTAGGTTTGAAACACTCTTTTTGTAGTATCTGGAAGTGGACATTTGGAGCGCCTTGACGCCTACGGTGAAAAGGGAAATATCTTCCCATAAAAACTAGACAAAAGCAATCTCAGAATCTTCTTTGGGATATATGCACGCAGCTAACAGAGTTGAACCTTTCTATTGACAGAGCAGTTTTGAAACAGTCTATCTGTGGAATCTGCAAGTGGATATTTGGATAGCTTGGAGGATTTCGTTGGAAACGGGATTACGTATAAAAAGTAGACAGCAGCATCCTCAGAAACTTCTTTGTGATGTGTGCATTCAAGTCACATAGTTGAACATTCCCTTTCATACAGCAGTTTTGAAACACTCTTTCTGTAGTATCTGGAAGTGAACATTAGGACAGCTTTCAGCTCTATGGTGAGAAAGGAAATATCTTCAAATAAAAACTAGACAGAAGCATTCTCATAAACTTGTTTGTGATGTGTGAACTCAGCTAACAGAGGTGGATCTTTCTTTTGATATAGCAGTTCTGAAAAACACTTTTTGTTGAATCTGCAAGTGGACATTTGGATAGATTTGAAGATTTCGTTGGAAACGGGAATATCTTCATATCAAATCTAGACAGAAGCATTCTCAGAAACGTCTTTGTGATGTTTGCATTCAACTCATAGAGTTGAACATTCCCTTTCAGAGAGCAGGTTTGAAGCACTCTTTTTGTAGTATGTGCAAGTGGACATTTGGAGCGCTCTGAGGCCTACGGTGAAAAAGCAAATATCTTCCCATAACCACTAGACAGAAACATTCTCAGAAACTCCTTTATGACGTATGCACTCACCTAACAGAGAAGAACCTTCCTTTTGACAGAGCAGTTTTGATAAACTCATTTTGTAGAATCTGCAAGTGGATATTTGGATAGCTGTGAAGATTTCGCTGGAAACGGGAATATCTTCCTATAAAATCTAGACAGAAGCATTCTCAGAAACTGCTCTGTGATGTCTGCATTCAAGTCACAGAGTTGAACATTGCCTTTCATAGAGCAGGTTTGAAACGCTCTTTTTGTAGTATATGGAAGTAGACGTTTCGGACGGTTTGAGGCCCAATGGTGATAAAGGGAATATCTTCCCCTACAAGCTAGAAAGAAGCATTCTGTGAAACTTGTTTGTGATGTGTGTACTCAACTAACAGAGTTGAACCTTTCTTTTTACAGAGCAGTTTTGAAACACTCTTTTTGTAGAATCTGCGAGGGGATATTTGGATAGATTTCAGGATTTCGTTGGCAACGGGAATATCTTCATATAAAATCTCGACAGAAGCATTCTCAGAAACTTCTTGGTGATATCTGCATTGAAGTCACAGAGTTGAATATTCCCTTTCACAGAGTAGGTTTGAAACACTCTTTTTGTAGTATCTAGAAGTGGACTTTTGGAGCGCCTTGACGCCTATGGTGAGAAGGGAAATATCTTCCCATAAAAACTAGACAGAAGCAATCTCAGAATCTTCTTTGGGATATATGCACGCAGCTAACAGAGTTGAACCTTTCCATTGACAGAGCAGTTTTGAAACAGTCTTTCTGTGGAATCTGCAAGTGGATATTTGGATAGCTTGGAGGATTTCGTTGGAAACGGGATTAAGTATAAAAAGTAGACAGCAGCATCCTCAGAAACTTCTTTGTGATGTGTGCATTCAAGTCACAGAGTTGAACATTCCCTTTCGTACAGCAGTTTTGAAAAACTCTTTCTGTAGTATCTGGAAGTGAACATTAGGACAGCTTTCAGCTCTATGGTGAGAAAGGAAATATCTTCAAATAAAAACTAGACAGAAGCATTCTGATAAACTTGTTTGTGAAGTGTGATCTCAGCTAACAGAGGTGGATCTTTCTTTTGATAGAGCAGTTCTGAAAAACACTTTGTTGAATCTGCAAGTAGACATTTGGATAGATTTGAAGATTTCGTTGGAAACGGGAATATCGTCATAAATCTAGACAGAAGCATTCTCAGAAACGTCTTTGTGATGTTTGCATTCAACTCATAGAGTTGAACATTCCGTTTCAGAGACCAGCTTTGAAGCACTCTTTTTGTAGTATGTGCAAGTGGATATTTGGAGCGCTCTGAGGCCTACGGTGAAAAAGCAAATATCTTCCGATAACCACTAGACAGAAACATTCTCAGAAACTCCTTTATGACGTATGTACTCAACTAACAGAGAAGAACCTTCCTTTTGACAGAGCAGTTTTGATAAACTCTTTTTGTAGAATCTGCAAGTGGATATTTGGATAGCTGTGAAGATTTCGTTGGAAACGGGAATATCTTCCTATAAAATCTAGACAGAAGCATTCTCAGAAACTGCTCTGTGATGTCTGCATTCAAGTTACAGAGTTGAACGTTGCCTTTCATAGAGCAGGTTTGAAACGCTCTTTTTGTAGTATATGGAAGTGGACTTATCGGACGGTTTGAGGCCCATGGTGATAAAGGGAATATCTTCCCCTACAAGCTAGAAAGAAGCATTCTGTGAAACTTGTTTGTGATGTGTGTACTCAACTAACAGAGTTGAACCTTTCTTTTTACAGAGCAGTTTTGAAACACTCTTTTTGTAGAATCTGCGGGGGGAAATTTGGATAGATTTCAGGATTTCGTTGGAAACGGGAATATCTTCATACAAAATCTCGACAGAAGCATTCTCAGAAACTTCTTTGTGATATGTGCATTCAAGTCACAGAGTTGAATATTCCCTTTCACAGGGTAGGTTTGAAACACTCTTTTTGTAGTATCTGGAAGTGGACATTTGGAGCGCCTTGACGCCTACGGTGAAAAGGGAAATATCTTCCCATAAAAACTAGACAGAAGCAATCTCAGAATCTTCTTTGGGATATATGCACGCAGCTAACAGAGTTGAACCTTTCTATTGACAGAGGAGTTTTGAAACAGTCTTTCTGTGGAATCTGGAAGTGGATATTTGGATAGCTTGGAGGATTTCGTTGGAAACGGGATTACATATAAAAAGTAGACAGCAGCATCCTCAGAAACTTCTTTGTGATGTGTGCATTCAAGTCACAGAGTTCAACATTCCCTTTCGTACAGCAGTTTTGAAACACTCTTTCTGTAGTATCTGGAAGTGAACATTAGGACAGCTTTCAGCTCTATGGTGAGAAAGGAAATATCTTCAAATAAAAACTAGACAGAAGCATTCTCATAAAGTTGTTTGTGAGGTGTGAACTCAGCTAACAGAGGTGGATCTTTCTTTTGATAGAGCAGTTCTGAAAAACACTTTTTGTTGAATCTGCAAGTGGACATTTGCATAGATTTGAAGATTTCGTTGGAAACGGGAATATCTTCATATCAAATCTAGACAGAAGCATTCTCAGAAACGTCTTTGCGATGTTTGCATTCAACCCATAGAGTTGAACATTCCGTTTCAGAGAGCAGCTGTGAGGCACTCTTTTTGTAGTATGTGCAAGTGGATATTTGGAGCGCTCTGAGGCCTACGGTGAAAAAGCAAATATCTTCCCATAACCACTAGACAGAAACATTCTCAGAAACTCCTTTATGAAGTATGCACTCACCTAACAGAGAAGAACCTTCCTTTTCACAGAGCAGTTTTGATACACTCTTTTTGTAGAATCTGCAAGTGGATATTTGGATAGCTGTGAAGATTTCGTTGGAAACGAGAATATCTTCCTATAAAATCTAGACAGAAGCATTCCCAGAAACTGCTCTGTGATGTCTGCATTCAAGTCACAGAGTTGAACATTGCCTTTCATAGAGCAGGTTTGAAACACTCTTTTTTTAGTATATGGAAGTGGACGTTTCGGACGGTTTGAGGACCATGGTGATAAAGGAAATATCTTCCCCTACAAGCTAGAAAGAAGCATTCTGTGAAACTTGTTTGTGATGTGTGTACTCAACTAACAGAGTTGAACCTTTCTTTTCACAGAGCAGTTTTGAAACACTCTTTTTGTAGAATCTGCGAGGGGAAATTTGGATAGATTTCAGGATTTCGTTGGAATCGGGAATATCTTCATACAAAATCTCGACAGAAGCATTCTCAGAAACTTCTTTGTGATATCTGCATTCAAGTCACAGAGTTGAATATTCCCTTTCACAGAGTAGGTTTGAAACACTCTTTTTGTATACCTGGAAGTGGACATTTGGAGCGCCTTGACGCCTATGGTGAAAAGGGAAATATCTTCCCATAAAAACTAGACAGAAGCAATCTCAGAATCTTCTTTGGAATATATGCACGCAGCTAACAGAGTTGAACCTTTCTATTGACAGAGCAGTTTTGAAACAGTCTTTCTGTGGAATCTGCAAGTGGATATTTGGATAGCTTGGAGGATTTCGTTGGAAACGGGATTACGTATAAAAAGAAGACAGCAGCATCCTCAGAAACTTCTTTGTGATGTGTGCATTCAAGTCACAGAGTTGAACATTCCCTTTCGTACAGCAGTTTTGAAACACTCTTTCTGTAGTATCTGTAAGTGAACATTAGGACAGCTTTCAGGTCTATGGTGAGAAAGGAAATATCTTCAAATAAAAACTAGACAGAAGCATTCTCATAAACTTGTTTGTGATGTGTGAACTCATCTAACAGAGGTGGATCTTTCTTTTGATAGAGCAGTTCTGAAAAACACTTTTTGTTGAATCTGCAAGTGGACATTTGGATAGATTTGAAGATTTCGTTGGAAACGGGAATATCTTCATATCAAATATAGACAGAAGCATTCTCAGAAACGTCTTTGTGATGTTTGCATTCAACTCATAGTGTTGAACATTCCCTTTCAGAGAGCAGATTTGAAGCACTCTTTTTGTAGTATGTGCAAGTGGATATTTGGAGCGCTCTGAGGCCTACGGTGAAAAAGCAAATATCTTCCCATAACCACTAGACAGAAACATTCTCAGAAACTCCTTTATGACGTATGCACTCACCTAACAGAAAAGAACCTTCCTTTTGACAGAGCAGTTTTGGTACACTCTTTTTGTAGAATCTGCAAGTGGATATTTGGATAGCTGTGAAGATTTCGTTGGAAACGGGAATATCTTCCTATAAAATCTAGACAGAAGCATTCTCAGAAACTGCTCTGTGATGTCTGCATTCAAGTCACAGAGTTGAACATTGCCTTTCATAGAGCAGGTTTGAAACACTCTTTTTGTAGTATATGGAAGTGGACATTTCGGACGGTTTGAGGCCCATGGTGATAAAGGGAATATCTTCCCCTACAAGGTAGAAAGAAGCATTCTGTGAAACTTGTTTGTGATGTGTGTACTCAACTAAAAGAGTTGAACCTTTCTTTTTACAGAGCAGTTTTGAAACACTCTTTTTGTAGAATCTGCGAGGGGATATTTGGATAGATTTCAGGATTTCGTTGCAAACGGGAATATCTTCACATAAAATCTCGACAGAAGCATTCTCAGAAACTTCCTTTGTGATATGTGCATTCAAGTCACAGAGTTGAATATTCCCTTTCACAGAGTAGGTTTGAAACACTCTTTTTGTAGTATCTGGAAGTGGACATTTGGAGCGCCTTGACGCCTACGGTGAAAAGGGAAATATCTTCCCATAAAAACTAGACAGAAGCAATCTCAGAATCTTCTTTGGGATATATGCACGCAGCTAACAGAGTTGAACCTTTCTATTGACAGAGCAGTTTTGAAACAGTCTTTCTGTGGAATCTGCAAGTGGATATTTGGATAGATTGGAGGATTTCGTTGGAAACGGGATTACGTATAAAAATTAGACAGCAGCATCCTCAGAAACTTCCTTGTGATGTGTGCATTCAAGTCACAGAGTTGAACATTCCCTTTCGTACAGCAGTTTTGAAACACTCTTTCTGTAGTATCTGGAAGTGAACTTTAGGAGAGCTTTCAGGTCTATAGTGAGAAAGGAAATATCTTCAAATAAAAACTAGACAGAAGCATTCTCATAAACTTGTTTGTGATGTGTGAACTCAGCTAACAGAGGCGGATCTTTCTTTTGATAGAGCAGTTCGGAAAAACACTTTTTGTTGAATCTGCAAGTGGACATTTCGATAGATTTGAAGATTTCGTTGGAAACGGGAATATCTTCATATCAAATCTAGACAGAAGCATTCTCAGAAACGTCTTTGTGATGTTTGCATTCAACTCATAGAGTTGAACATTCCCTTTCAGAGAGCAGCTTTGAAGCACTCTTTTTGTAGTCTGTGCAAGTGGATATTTGGAGCGCTGTGAGGCCTACGGTGAAAAAGCAAATATCTTCCCATAACCACTAGACAGAAACATTCTCAGAAACTCCTTTATGACGTATGCACTCACCTAACAGAGAAGAACCTTCCTTTTGACAGAGCAGTTTTGATACACTCTTTTTGTAGAATCTGCAAGTGGATATTTGGATAGCTGTGAAGATTTCATTGGAAACGGGAATATCTTCCTATAAAATCTAGACAGAAGCATTCTCAGAAACTGCTCTGTGATGTCTGCATTCAAGTCACAGAGTTGAACATTGCCTTTCATAGAGCAGGTTTGAAACACTCTTTTTGTAGTATATGGAAGTGGACGTTTCGGACAGTTTGAGGCCCATGGTGATAAAGGGAATATCTTCCCCTACAAGCTAGAAAGAAGCATTCTGTGAAACTTGCTTGTGATGTGTGTACTCAACTAACAGAGTTGAACCTTTCTTTTTACAGAGCAGTTTTGATACACTCTTTTTGTAGAATCTGAGAGGGGATATTTGGATAGATTTCAGGATTTCGTTGGAAACGGGAATATCTTCATATAAAATATCGACAGAAGCATTCTCAGAAACTTCTTTGTGATATCTGCCTTTAAGTCACAGAGTTGAATATTCCCTTTCACAGAGTAGGTTTGAAACACTCTTTTTGTAGTATCTGGAAGTGGACATTTGGAGCCCCTTGAGACCTACGGTGAAAAGGGAAATATCTTCCCATAAAAACTAGACAGAAGCAATCTCAGAATCTTCTTTGGGATATATGCACGCAGCTAACAGAGTTGAACCTTTCTATTGACAGAGCAGTTTTGAAACAGTCTTTCTGTGGAATCTGCAAGTAGATATTTGGATAGCTTGGAGGATTTCGTTGGAAACGGGATTACGTATGAAAAGTAGACAGCAGCATCCTCAGAAACTTCTTTGTGATGTGTGCATTCAAGTCACAGAGTTGAACATTCCCTTTCGTACAGCAGTTTTCAAACACTCTTTCTGTAGTAACTGGAAGTGAACATTAGGACAGCTTTCAGGTCTACGGTGAGAAAGGAAATATCTTCAAATAAAAACTAGACAAAAGCATTCTCATAAACTTGTTTGTGATGTGTGAACTCAGCTAACAGAGGTGGATCTTTCTTTTGATAGAGCAGTTCTGAAAAACACTTTTTGTTGAATCTGCAAGTGGACATTTGGATAGATTTGAAGATTTCGTTGGAAACGGGAATATCTTCATGTCAAATCTAGACAGAAGCATTCTCAGAAACGTCTTTGCGATGTTTGCATTCAACTCATAGAGTTGAACATTCCGTTTCAGAGAGCAGCTTTGAGGCACTCTTTTTGTAGTATGTGCAAGTGGATATTTGGAGCGCTCTGAGGCCTACGGTGAAAAAGCAAATATCTTCCCATAACCACTAGACGGAAACATTCTCAGAAACTCCTTTATGACGTATGCACTCACCTAACAGAGAAGAACCTTCCTTTTGACTGAGCAGTTTTTATACACTCTTTTTGCAGAATCTGCAAGTGGATATTTGGATAGCTGTGAAGATTTCGTTGGAAACGGGAATATCTTCCTATAAAATCTAGACAGAAGCATTCTCAGAAACTGCTCTGTGATGTCTGCATTCAAGTCACAGAGTTGAACATTGCCTTTCATAGAGCAGGTTTGAAACGCTCTTTTTGTAGTGTATGGAAGTGGATGTTTCGGACGGTTGGAGGCCCATGGTGATAAAGGGAATATCTTCCCCTACAAGCTAGAAAGAAGCATTCTGTGAAACTTGTTTGTGATGTGTGTACTCAACTAACAGAGTTGAACCTTTCTTTTTACATAGCAGTTTTGAAACACTCTTTTTGTAGAATCTGCGAGGGGATATTTGGATAGATTTCAGGATTCCGTTGGAAACGGGAATATCTTCATATAAAATCTCGACAGAAAGCATTCTCAGTAAACTTCTTTGTGATATCTGCATTCAAGTCACAGAGTTGAATATTCCCTTTCACAGAGTAGGTTTGAAACACTCTTTTTGTAGTATCTGGAAGTGGACATTTTGAGCGCCTTGACGCCTACGGTGAAAAGGGAAATATCTTCTCATAAAAAGTAGACAGAAGCAATCTCAGAATCTTCTTCGGGATATATGCACGCAGGTAACAGAGTTGAACCTTTCTATTGACAGAGCAGTTTTGAAACAGTCTTTCTGTGGAATCTGCAAGTGGATATTTGGATAGCTTGGAGGATTTCGTTGGAAACGGGATTACGTATAAAAAGTAGACAGCAGCCTCCTCAGAAACTTCTTTGTGATGTGTGCATTCAAGTCACACAGTTGAACATTCCCTTTCGTACAGCAGTTTTGAAACACTCTTTCTGTAGTATCTGGAAGTGAACATTAGGACAGCTTTCAGGTCTATGGTGAGAAAGGAAATATCTTCAAATAAAAACTAGACAGAAGCATTCTCATAAACTTGTTTGTGATGTCTGAACTCAGCTAACAGACGTGGATCTTTCTTTTGATAGAGCAGTTCTGAAAAACACGTTTTGTTGAATCTGCAAGTGGACATTTGGATAGATTTGAAGATTTCGTTGGAAACGGGAATATCGTCATATCAAATCTAGACAGATAAGCATTCTCAGAAACGTCTTTGCGATGTTTGCATTCAACTCATAGAGTTGAACATTCCGTTTCAGAGAGCAGCTTTGAGGCACTCTTTTTGTAGTATGTGCAAGTGGATATTTGGAGCGCTCTGAGGCCTACGGTGAAAAAGCAAATATCTTCCCATAACCACTAGACAGAAACATTCTCAGAAACTCCTTTATGACGTATGCACTCACCTAACAGAGAAGAACCTTCCTTTTGACAGAGCAGTTTTGATACACTCTTTTTGTAGAATCTGCAAGTGGATATTTGGATAGCTGTGAAGATTTCGTTGGAAACGGGAATATCTTCCTATAAAACCTAGACAGAAGCATTCTCAGAAACTGCTCTGTGATGTGTGCATTCAAGTCACAGAGTTGAACATTGGCTTTCATAGAGCAGGTTTGAAATGCTCTTTTTGTAGTATATGGAAGTGGACGTTTCAGACGGTTTGAGGCCCATGGTGATAAAGGGAATATCTTCCCCTGCAAGCTAGAAAGAAGCATTCTGTGAAACTAGTTTGTGATGTGTGTACTCAACTAACAGAGTTGAACCTTTCTTTTCACAGAGCAGTTTTGAAACACTCTTTTTGTAGAATCTGCGAGGGGATATTTGGATAGATTTCAGCATTTCGTTGGAAACGGGAATATCTTCATATAAAATCTCGACAGAAGCATTCTCTGAAACTTCTTTGTGATATGTGCATTCAAGTCACAGAGTTCAATATTCCCTTTCACAGAGTAGGTTTGAAACACTCTTTTTGTAGTATCTGAAGTGGACATTTGGAGCGCCTTGACGCCTACGGTGAAAAGGGAAATATCTTCTCATAAAAAGTAGACAGAAGCAATCTCAGAATCTTCTTTGGGATATATGCACGCAGCTAACAGAGTTGAACCTTTCTATTGACAGAGCTGTTTTGAAACACTCTTTCTGTGGAATCTGCAAGTGGATATTTGGATAGCTTGGAGGATTTCGTTGGAAACGGGATTACGTATAAAAAGTAGACAGCAGCATCCTCAGGAACTTCTTTGTGATGTGTGCATTCAAGTCACAGAGTTGAACATTCCCTTTCGTACAGCAGTTTTGAAACACTCTTTCTGTAGTATCTGGAAGTGAACATTAGGACAGCTTTCAGGTCTATGGTGAGAAAGGCAATATCTTCAAATAAAAACTAGACAGAAGAATTCTCATAAACTTGTTCGTGATGTGTGAACTCAGCTAACACACGTGGATCTTTCTTTTGATAGAGCAGTTCTGAAAAACACTTTTTGTTGAATCTGCAAGAGGACATTTGGATAGATTTGAAGATTTCGTTGGAAACGGGAATATCTTCATATCAAATCTAGACAGAAGCATTCTCGGAAACGTCTTTGTGATGTTTGCATTCAACTCATAGATTTGAACATTCCGTTTCAGAGAGCAGCTTTGAGGCACTCATTTTGTAGTATGTGCAAGTGGATATTGGGAGCGCTCTGAGGCCTTCGGTGAAAAAGCAAATATCTTCCCATAACCACTAGACAGAAACATTCTCAGAAACTCCTTTATGACGTATGCACTCACCTAACAGAGAAGAACCTTCCTTTTGACAGAGCAGTTTTGATACACTCTTTTTGTAGAATCTGCAAGTGGATATTGGGATAGCTGTGAAGATTTCGTTGGAAACGGTAATATCTTCCTATAAAATCTAGACAGAAGCATTCTCAGAAACTGCTCTGTGATGTCTGCATTCAAGTCACAGAGTTGAACATTGCCTTTCATAGAGCAGGTTTGAAACACTCTTTTTGTAGTATATGGAAGTGGACGTTTCGGACGGTTTCAGGCCCATGGTGATAAAGGGAATATCTTCCCCTACAAGCTAGAAAGAACAATTCTGTGAAACTTGTTTGTGATGTGTGTACTCAACTAACAGAGTTGAACCTTTCTTTTTACAGAGCAGTTTTGAAACACTCTTTTTGTAGAATCTGCGAGGGGATATTTGGATAGATTTCAGGATTTCGTTGGAAACGGGAATATCTTCATATAAAATCTCGACAGAAGCATTCTCAGAAACTTCTTTGTGATATCTGCATTCAAGTCACAGAGTTGAATATTCCCTTTCACAGAGTAGGTTTGAAACACTCTTTTTGTAGTATCTGGAAGTGGACATTTGGAGCGCCTTGACACCTACGGTGAAAAGGTAAATATCTTACCATAAAAACGAGACAGAAGCAATCTCAGAATCTTCTTTGGGATATATGCACGCAGCTAACAGAGTTGAACCTTTCTATTGAAAGAGCAGTTTAGAAACAGTCTTTCTGTGGAATCTGCAAGTGGATATTTAGATAGCTTGGAGGATTTCGTTGGAAACGGGATTACGTATAAAAAGTAGACAGCCAGCATCCTCAGAAACTTCTTTGTGATGTGTGCATTCAAGTCACAGTAGTTGAACATTCCCTTTCGTAAAGCAGTTTTGAAACACTCTTTCTGTAGTATCTGGAAGTGAACATTAGGACAGCTTTCAGGTCTATGGTGAGAAAGGAAATATCTTCAAATAAAAACTAGACAGAGCATTCTCATAAACTTGTTTGTGATGTGTGAACTCAGCTAACAGAGATGGATCTTTCTTTTGATAGAGCAGATCTGAAAAACACTTTTTGTTGAATCTGCAAGTGGACATTTGGATAGATTTGAAGATTTCGTTGGAAACGGGAATATCTTCATATCAAATCTAGACAGAAGCATTCTCGGAAACGTCTTTGTGATGTTTGCATTCAACTCATAAAGTTGAACATTCCGTTTCAGAGAGCAGCTTTGAGGCACTCTTTTTGTAGTATGTGCAAGTGGATATTTGGAGCGCTCTGAGGCCTTCTGTGAAAAAGCAAATATCTTCCCATAACCACTAGACAGAAACATTCTCAGAAACTCCTTTATGACGTATGCACTCACCTAACAGAAAAGAACCTTCCTTTTGACAGAGCAGTTTTGATACACTCTTTTTGTAGAATCTGCAAGTGGATATTTGGATAGCTGTGAAGATTTCGTTGGAAACGGGAATAGCTTCCTATAAAATCTAGACAGAAGCATTCTCAGAAACTGCTCTGTGATGTCTGCATTCAAGTCACAGAGTTGAACATTGCCTTTCATAGAGCAGGTTTGAAACGCTCTTTTTGTAGTATATGGAAGTGGATGTTTCGGACGGTTGGAAGCCCATGGTGATAAAGGGAATATCTTCCCCTACAAGCTGGAAAGAAGCATTCTGTGAAACTTGTTTGTGATGTGTGTACTCAACTAACAAAGTTGAACCTTTCTTTTCACAGAGCAGTTTTGAAACACTCTTTTTGTAGAATCTGCGAGGGGATATTTGGATACATTTCAGGATTTCGTTGGAAACGGGAATATCTTCATATAAAATCTCGACAGAAGCATTCTCAGAAACTTCCTTGTGATATGTGCATTCAAGTCACAGAGTTGAATATTCCCTTTCACAGAGTAGGTTTGAAACACTCTTTTTGTAGTATCTGGAAGTGGACATTTGGAGCGCCTTGACGCCTACGGTGAAAGGGGAAATATCTTCCCATAAAAACTAGACAGAAGCAATCTCAGAATCTTCTTTGGGATATATGCACGCAGCTAACAGAGTTGAACCTTTCTATTGACAGAGCAGTTTTGAAACAGTCTTTCTGTGGAATCTGCAAGTGGATATTTGGATAGCTTGGAGGATTTCGTTGGAAACGGGATTACGTATAAAAAGTAGTCAGCAGCATCCTCAGAAACTTCTTTGTGATGTGTGCATTCAAGTCACAGAGTTGAACATTCCCTTTCGTACAGCAGTTTTGAAACACTCTTTCTGTAGTAACCGGAAGTGAACATTAGGACAGCTTTCAGGTCTATGGTGAGAAAGGAAATATCTTCAAATAAAAACTAGACAGAAGCATTCTCATAAACTTGTTTGTGATGTCTGAACTCAGCTAACAGAGGTGGATCTTTCTTTTGATAGAGCAGTTCTGAAAAACACTTTTTGTTGAATCTGCAAGTGGACATTTGGATAGAATTGAAGATTTCGTTGGAAACGGGAATATCTTCATATCAAATCTAGACAGAAGCATTCTCAGAAACGTCTTTGTGATGTTTGCATTCAACCCATAGAGTTGAACATTCCGTTTCAGGGAGCAGCTTTGAAGCACTCTTTTTGTAGTATGTGCAAGTGGATATTTGGAGCGCTGTGAGGCCTGCGGTGAAAAAGCAAATATCTTCCCATAACCACTAGACAGAAACATTCTCAGAAACTCCTTTATGACGTATGCACTCAACTAACAGAGAAGAACCTTCCTTTTGACAGAGCAGTTTTGATACACTCTTTTTGTAGAATCTGCAAGTGGATATTTGGATAGCTGTGAAGATTTCGTTGGAAACGGGAATATCTTCCTATAAAATCTAGACAGAAGCATTCTCAGAAACTGCTCTGTGATGTCTGTATTCAAGTCACAGAGTTGAACATTGCCTTTCATAGAGCAGGTTTGAAACGCTCTTTTTGTAGTATATGTAAGTGGATGTTTCAGACGGTTTGAGGCCGATGGTGATAAAGGGAATATCTTCCCCTACAAGCTAGAAAGAAGCATTCTGTGAAACTTGTTTTTGATGTGTGTACTCAACTAACAGAGTTGAACCTTCCTTTTTACAGAGCAGTTTTGAAACACTCTTTTTGTAGAATCTGCGAGGGGATATTTGGATAGATTTCAGGATTTCGCTGGAAACGGGAGTATCTTCATATAAAATCTCGACAGAAGCATTCTCAGAAACTTCCTTGCGATATGTGCATTCAAGTCACAGAGTTGAATATTCCCTTTCACAGAGTAGGTTTGAAACACTCTTTTTGTAGTATCTGGAAGTGGACATTTGGAGCGCCTTGACGCCTACGGTGAAAAGGGAAATATCTTCCCATCAAAACTAGACAGAAGCAATCTCAGAATCTTCTTTGGGATATATGCACGCAGCTAACAGAGTTGTACCTTTCTATTGACAGAGCAGTTTTGAAACAGTCTTTCTGTGGAATCTGCAAGTGGATATTTGGATAGCTTGGAGGATTTCGTTGGAAACGGGATTACGTATAAAAAGTAGACAGCAGCATCCTCAGAATCTTCTTTGTGATGTGTGCATTCAAGTCACAGAGTTGAACATTCCCTTTCGTACAGCAGTTTTGAAACACTCTTTCTGTAGTATCTGGAAGTGAACATTAGGACAGCTTTCAGGTCTATGGTGAGAAAGGAAATATCTTCAAATAAAAACTAGACAGAAGCATTCTCATAAACTTGTTTGTGATGTCTGAACTCAGCTAACAGAGGTGGATCTTCCTTTTGATAGAGCAGTTCTGAAAAACACTTTTTGTTGAATCTGCAAGTGGACATTTGGATAGATTTGAAGATTTCGTTGGAAACGGGAATATCTTCATATCAAATCTAGACAGAAGCATTCTCAGAAACGTCTTTGTGATGTTTGCATTCAACTCATAGAATTGAACATTGCGGTTCAGAGAGCCGCTTTGAAGCACTCTTTTTGTAGTATGTGCAAGTGGATATTTGGAGCGATCTGAGGCCTAAGGTGAAAAAGCAAATATCTTCCCATAACCACTAGACAGAAACATTCTCAGAAACTCCTTTATGACGTATGTACTCAACTAACAGAGAAGAACCTTCCTTTTGACAGAGCAGTTTTGATACACTCTTTTTGTAGAATCTGCAAGTGGATATTTGGATAGCTGTGAAGATTTCGTTGGAAACGGAAATATCTTCCTATAAAATCTAGACAGAAGCATTCTCAGAAACTGCTCTGTGATGTCTGCATTCAAGTCACAGAGTTGAACATTGCCTTTCATAGAGCAGGTTTGAAACGCCCTTTTTGTAGTATATGGAAGTGGACGTTTCGGACGGTTTGAGGCCCATGGTGATAAAGGGAATATCTTCCCCTACAAGCTAGAAAGAAGCATTGTGTGAAACTTATTTGTGATGTGTGTACTCAACTAACAGAGTTGAACCTTTCTTTTTACAGAGCAGTTTTGAAACACTCTTTTTGTAGAATCTGCGAGGGGATATTTGGGTACATTTCAGGATTTCGTTGGAAACGGGAATATCTTCATATAAAATCTCGACAGAAGCATTCTCAGAAACTTCTTTGTGATATGTGCATTCAAGTCACAGAGTTGAATATTCCCTTTCACAGAGTAGGTTTGAAACACTCTTTTTGTAGTATCTGGAAGTGGACATTTGGAGCGCCTTGACCCCTACGGTGAAAAGGGAAATATCTTCCCACAAAAACTAGACAGAAGCAATCTCAGAATCTACTTTGGGATATATGCACGCAGCTAACAGAGTTGAACCTTTCTATTGACAGAGCAGTTTTGAAACAGTCTTTCTGTGGAATCTGCAAGTGGATATTTGGATAGCTTGGAGGATTTCGTTGGAAACGGGATTACGCATAAAAAGTAGACAGCAGCATCCTCAGAAACTTCTTTGTGATGTGTGCATTCAAGTCACAGTGTTGAACATTCCCTTTCGTACAGCAGTTTTGAAACACTCTTTCTGTAGTATCTGGAAGTGAACATTAGGACAGCTTTCAGGTCTATTGTGAGAAAGGAAATATCTTCAAATAAAAACTAGACAGAAGCATTCTCATAAACTTGTTTCTGATGTGTGAACTCAGCTAACAGAGGTGGATCTTTCTTTTGATAGAGCAGTTCTGAAAAACACTTTTTGTTGAATCTGCAAGTGGACATTTGGATAGATTTGAAGATTTCGTTGGAAACGGGAATATCTTCATATCAAATCTAGACAGACAAGCATTCTCAGAAACGTCTTTGCGATGTTTGCATTCAACTCATAGAGTTGAACATTCCGTTTCAGAGAGCAGCTGTGAGGCACTCTTTTTGTAGTATGTGCAAGTGGATATTTGGAGCGCTCTGAGGCCTATGGTGAAAAAGCAAATATCTTCCCATAACCACTAGACAGATACATTCTCAGAAACTCCTTTATGACGTATGTACTCAACTAACAGAGAAGAACCTTCCTTTTGACAGAGCAGTTTTGATACACTCTTTTTGTAGAAACTGCAAGTGGATATTTGGATAGCTGTGAAGATTTCGTTGGAAACGGGAATATCTTCCTATAAAATCTAGACAGAAGCATTCTCAGAAACTGCTCTGTGATGTCTGCATTCAAGTCACAGAGTTGAACATTGCCTTTCATAGAGCAGGTTTGAAACGCTCTTTTTGTAGTATATGGAAGTGGATGTTTCGGACGGTTGGAGGCCCATGGTGATAAAGGGAATATCTTCCTCTACAAGCTAGAAAGAAGCATTCTGTGAAACTTGTTTGTGATGTGTGCACTCAACTAACAGAGTTGAACCTTTCTTTTTACAGAGCAGTTTTGAAACACTCTTTTTGTAGAATCTGCGAGGGGATATTTGGATACATTTCAGGATTTCGTTGGAAACGGGAATATCTTCATATAAAATCTCGACAGAAGCATTCTCAGAAACTTCCTTGTGATATGTGCATTCAAGTCACAGAGTTGAATATTCCCTTTCATAGAGTAGGTATGAAACACTCTTTTTGTAGTATCTGGAAGTGGACATTTGGAGCGCCTTGACGCCTACGGTGAAAAGGGAAATATCTTCCCATAAAAACTAGACAGAAGCAATCTCAGAATCTTCTTTGGGATATATGCACGCAGCTAACAGAGTTGAACCTTTCTATTGACAGAGCAGTTTTGAAACAGTCTTTCTGTGTAATCTGCAAGTGGATATTTGGATAGCTTGGAGGATTTCGTTGGAAACGGGATTACGTATAAAAAGTAGACAGCAACATCCTCAGAAACTTCTTTGTGATGTGTGCATTCAAGTCACAGAGTTGAACATTCCCTTTCGTACAGCAGTTTTGAAACACTCTTTCTGTAGTAACTGGAAGTGAACATTAAGACAGCTTTCAGGTCTATGGTGAGAAAGGAAATATCTTCAAATAAAAACTAGACAGAAGCATTCTCATAAACTTGTTTGTGATGTGCGAACTCAGCTAACAGAGGTGGATCTTTCTTTTGATAGAGCAGTTCTGAAAAACACTTTTTGTTGAATCTGCAAGTGGACATTTGGATAGATTTGAAGATTTCGTTGGAAACGGGAATATCTTCATATCAAATCTAGACAGAAGCATTCTCAGAAACGTCTTTGTGATGTTTGCATTCAACTCATAGAGTTGAACATTCCGTTTCAGAGAGCAGCTTTGAAGCACTCTTTTTGTAGCATGTGCAAGTGGATATTTGGAGCGCTCTGAGGCCTACGGTGAAAAAGCAAATATCTTCCCATAACCAGTAGACAGAAACATTCTCAGAAACTCCTTTATGACGTATGCACTCACCTAACAGAGAAGAACCTTCCTTTTGACAGAGCAGTTTTGATACACTCTTTTTGTAGAATCTGCAAGTGGATATTTGGATAGCTGTGAAGGTTTCGTTGGAAACGGAAATATCTTCCTATGAAATCTAGACAGAAGCATTCTCAGAAACAGCTCTGTGATGTCTGCATTCAAGTCACAGAGTTGAACATTGCCTTTCCTAGAGCAGGTTTGAAATGCTCTTTTTGTAGCATATGGAAGTGGACGTTTCGGACGGTTTGAGGCCCATGGTGATAAAGGGAATATCTTCCCCTACAAGCTAGAAAGAAGCATTCTGTGAAACTAGTTTGTGATGTGTGTACTCAACTAACAGAGTTGAACCTTTCTTTTTACAGAGCAGTTTTGAAACACTCTTTTTGTAGAATCTGCGAGGGGATATTTCGATAGATTTCAGGATTTCGTTGGAAACGGGAATATCTTCATATAAAATCTCGACAGAAGCATTCTCAGAAACTTCTTTGTGATATGTGCATTCAAGTCACAGAGTTGAATATTCCCTTTTACAGAGTAGGTTTGAAACACTCTTTTTGTAGTATCTGGAAGTGGACATTTGGAGCGCCTTGACGCCTACGGTGAAAAGGGAAATATCTTCTCATAAAAAGTAGACAGAAGCAATCTCAGAATCTTCTTTGGGATATATGCACGTAGCTAACAGAGTTGAACCTTTCTATTGACAGAGCAGGTTTGAAACAGTCTTTCTGTGGAATCTGCAAGTGGATATTTGGATAGCTTGGAGGATTTCGTTGGAAACAGGATTACGTATAAAAAGTAGACAGCAGCATCCTCAGAAACTTCTTTGTGATGTGTGCATTCAAGTCACAGAGTTGAACATTCCCTTTTGTACAGCAGTTTTGAAACACTCTTTCTGTAGTATCTGGAAGTGAACATTAGGACAGCTTTCAGGTCTATGGTGAGAAAGGAAATATCTTCAAATAAAAACTAGACAGAAGCATTCTCATAAACTTGTTTGTGATGTGTGAACTCAGCTAACAGAGGTGGATCTTTCTTTTGATAGAGCAGTTCTGAAAAACACTTTGTTGAATCTGCAAGTGGACATTTGGATAGATTTGAAGATTTCGTTGGAAACGGGAATATCTTCATATCAAATCTAGACAGAAGCATTCTCGGAAACGTCTTTGTGATGTTTGCATTCAACTCATAGAGTTGAACATTCCGTTTCAGAGAGCAGCTTTGAAGCACTCTTTTTGTAGTATGTGCAAGTGGATATTTGGAGCGCTGTGAGGCCTACGGTGAAAAAGCAAATATCTTCCCATAACCACTAGAAAGAAACATTCTCAGAAATTCCTTTATGACGTATGCACTCACCTAACAGAGAAGAACCTTCCTTTTGACAGAGCAGTTTTGATACACTCTTTTTGTAGAATCTGCAAGTGGATATTTGGATACCTGTGAAGATTTCGTTGGAAACGGGAATATCTTCCTATAAAATCTAGACAGAAGCATTCTCAGAAACTGCTCTGTGATTTCTGCATTCAAGTCACAGAGTTGAACATTGCCTTTCATAGAGCAGGTTTGAAACGCTCTTTTTGTAGTATATGGAAGTGGATGTTTCGGACGGTTGGAGGCCCATGGTGATAAAGGGAATATCTTCCCCTACAAGCTAGAAAGAAGCATTCTGTGAAACTTGTTTGTTATGTGTGTACTCAACTAACAGAGTTGAACCTTTCTTTTCACAGAGCAGTTTTGAAACACTCTTTTTGTAGAATCTGCGAGGGGATATTTGGATAGATTTCAGGATTTCGTTGGAAACGGGAATATCTTCATATAAAATCTCGACATTAGCATTCTCAGAAACTTCCTTGTGATATGTGCATTCAAGTCACAGAGTTGAATATTCCCTTTCACAGAGTAGGTTTGAAACACTCTTTTTGTAGTATCTGGAAGTGGACATTTGGAGCGCCTTGACACCTACGGTGAATAGGGAAATATCTTCCCATAAAAACTAGACAGAAGCAATCTCAGAATCTTCTTTGGGATATATGCACGCAGCTAACAGAGTTGAACCTTTCTATTGACAGAGCAGTTTTGAAACAGTCTTTCTGTGGAATCTGCAAGTGGATACTTGGAGAGCTTGGAGGATTTCGTTGGAAACGGGATTACGTATAAAAAGAAGACAGCAGCATCCTCAGAATCTTCTTTGTGATGTGTGCATTCAAGTCACAGATTTGAACATTCCCTTTCGTACAGCAGTTTTGAAACACTCTTTCTGTAGTATCTGGAAGTGAACATTAGGACAGCTTTCAGCTCTATGGTGAGAAAGGAAATATCTTCAAATAAAAACTAGACAGAAGCATTCTCATAAACTTGTTTGTGATGTGTGAACTCAGCTAACAGAGGTGGATCTTTCTTTTGATAGAGCAGTACTGAAAAACACTTTTTGTTGAATCTGCAAGTGGACATTTGGATAGATTTGAAGATTTCGTTGGAAACGGGAATATCTTCATATCAAATCTAGACAGAAGCATTCTCAGAAACGTCTTTGTGATGTTTGCATTCAACTCATAGAGTTGAACATTCCGTTTCAGAGAGCAGCTTTGAAGCACTCTTTTTGTAGTATGTGCAAGTGGACATTTGGAGCGCCCTGAGGCCTACGGTGAAAAAGCAAATATCTTCCCATAACCACTAGACAGAAACATTCTCAGAAACTCCTTTATGACGTATGCACTCTCCTAACAGAGAAGAACCTTCCTTTTGACTGAGCAGTTTTGATACACTCTTTTTGCAGAATCTGCAAGTGGATATTTGGATAGCTGTGAAGATTTCGTTGGAAACGGGAATATCTTCCTATAAAATCTAGACAGAAGCATTCTCAGAAACTGCTCTGTGATGTCTGCATTCAAGTCACAGAGTTGAACATTGCCTTTCCTAGAGCAGGTTTGAAACGCTCTTTTTGTAGTATATGGAAGTGGACGTTTCGGACGGCTTGAGGCCCATGGTGATAAAGGGAATATCTTCCCCTACAAGCTAGAAAGAAGCATTCTGTGAAACTTGTTTGTGATGTGTGTACTCAACTAACAGAGTTGAACCTTTTATTTTTACAGAGCAGTTTTGAAACACTCTTTTTGTAGAATCTGCGAGGGGATATTTGGATAGATTTCAGGATTTCGTTGGAAAGGGGAATATCTTCATATAAAATCTCGACAGAAGCATTCTCAGAAACTGCTCTGTGATGTCTGCATTCAAGTCACAGAGTTGAATATTCCCTTTCACAGAGTAGGTTTGAAACACTCTTTTTGTAGTATCTGGAAGTGGACATTTGGAGCGCCTTGACACCTATGGTGAAAAGGGAAATATCTTCCCATAAAAACTAGACAGAAGCAAGCTCAGAATCCTCTTTAGGATATATGCACGCAGCTAACAGAGTTGAACCTTTCTATTGACAGAGCAGTTTTGAAACAGTCTTTCTGTGGAATCTGCAAGTGGATATTTGGATAGCTTGGAGGATTTCGTTGGAAACGGGATTACGTATAAAAAGTAGACAGCAGCATCCTCAGAAACTACTTTGTGATGTGTGCATTCAAGTCACAGAGTTGAACATTCCCTTTCGTACAGCAGTTTTGAAACACTCTTTCTGTAGTATCTGGAAGTGAACATTAGGACAGCTTTCAGGTCTATGGTGAGAAAGGAAATATCTTCAAATAAAAACTAGACAGAAGCATTCTCATAAACTTGTTTGTGATGTGTGAACTCAGCTAACACACGTGGATCTTTCTTTTGATAGAGCAGTTCTGAAAAACAATTTTTGTTGAATCTGCAAGTGGACATTTGGATAGATTTGAAGATTTCGTTGGAAACGGGAATATCTTCATATCAAATCTAGACAGAAGCATTCTCAGAAACGTCTTTGTGATGTTTGCATTCAACTCATAGAGTTGAACATTCCGTTTCAAAGAGCAGCTTTGAGGCCCTCTTTTTGTAGTATGTGCAAGTGGATATTTGGAGCGCTCTGAGGCCTACGGTGAAAAAGCAAATATCTTCCCATAACCACTAGACAGAAACATTCTCAGAAACTGCTTTATGACGTATGCACTCACCTAACAGAGAAGAACCTTCCTTTTGACAGAGCAGCTTTGATACACTCTTTTTGTAGAATCTGCAAGTGTATATTTGGATAGCTGTGAAGATTTCGTTGGAAACGGGAATATCTTCCTATAAAATCTAGACAGAAGCATTCTCAGAAACTGCTCTGTGATGTCTGCATTCAAGTCACAGAGTTGAACATTGCCTTTCATAGAGCAGGTTTGAAATGATCTTTTTGTAGTATATGGAAGTGGACGTTTCAGACGGTTTGAGGCCCATGGTGATAAAGGGAATATCTTCCCCTACAAGCTAGAAAGAAGCATTCTGTGAAACTTGTTTGTGATGTGTGTACTCAAGTAAGAGAGTTGAACCTTTCTTTTCACAGAGCAGTTTTGAAACACTCTTTTTGTAGAATCTGCGAGGGGATATTTGGATAGATTTCAGGATTTCGTTGGAAACGGGAATATCTTCATATAAAATCTCGACAGATGCATTCTCAGAAACTTCTTTGTGATATGTGCATTCTAGTCACAGAGTTGAATATTCCCTTTCATAGAGTAGGTTTGAAACACTCTTTTTGTACTATCTGGAAGTGGACATTTGGAGCGCCTTGACGCCTACGGTGAAGAGGGAAATATCTTCCCATAAAAACTAGACAGAAGCAATCTCAGAATCTTCTTTGGGATATATGCACGAAGCTAACAGAGTTGAACCTTTCTATTGACAGAGCAGTTTTGAAACAGTCTTTCTGTGGAATCTGCAAGTGGATATTTGGATAGCTTGGAGGATTTCGTTGGAAACGGGATTACGTATAAAAAGTAGACAGCAGCATCCTCAGAAACTTCTTTGTGATGTGTGCATTCAAGTCACAGAGTTGAACATTCCCTTTCATACAGCAGTGTTGAAACACTCTTTATGTAGTATCTGGAAGTGAACATTAGGACAGCTTTCAGGTCTATGGTGAGAAAGGAAATATCTTCAAATAAAAACTAGACAGAAGCATTCTCATAAACTTGTTTGTGATGTGTGAACTCAGCTAACAGAGGTGGATCTTTCTTTTGAAAGAGCAGTTCTGAAAAACACTTTTTGTTGAATCTGCAAGTGGACATTTGGATAGATTTGAAGATTTCGTTGGTAACGGGAACATCTTCATATCAAATCTAGACAGAAGCATTCTCAGAAACGTCTTTGTGATGTTTGCATTCAACTCATAGAGTTGAACATTCCGTTTCAGTAGAGCAGCTTTGAAGCACTCTTTTTGTAGTATGTGCAAGTGGATATTTGGAGCGCTCTGAGGCCTACGGTGAAAAAGCAAATATCTTCCCATAACCACTAGACAGAAACATTCTCAGAAACTACTTTATGGCGTATGTACTCAACTAGCAGAGAAGAACTTTCCTTTTGACAGAGCACTTTTGATACACTCTTTTTGTAGTATCTGCAAGTGGATATTTGGATAGCTGTGAAGATTTCGTTGGAATCGGGAATATCTTCCTATAAAGTCTGGACAGAAGCATTCTCAGAAACTGCTCTGTGATGTCTGCATTCAAGTCACAGAGTTGAACATTGCCTTTCATAGAGCAGGTTTCAAGCACTCTTTTTTTAGTATATGGAAGTGGACGTTTCGGACGGTTTGAGGCCCATGGTGATAAAGGAAATATCTTCCCCTACAAGCTAGAAAGAAGCATTCTGTGAAACTTGTTTGTGATGTGTGTACTCAACTAACAGAGTTGAACCTTTCTTTTTACAGAGTAGTTTTGAAACACTCTTTTTGTAGAATCTGCGAGGGGATATTTGGATACATTTCAGCATTTCGTTGGAAACGGGAATATCTTCATATAAAATCTCGACAGAAGCATTCTCAGAAACTTCCTTGTGATACGTGCATTCAAGTCACAGAGTTGAATATTCCCTTTCACAGAGTAGGTTTGAAACACTCTTTTTGTAGTATCTGGAAGTGGACATTTGGAGCGCCTTGACACCTACGGTGAAAAGGGAAATATCTTCCCATAAAAACTAGACAGAAGCAATCTCAGAATCTTCTTTGGGATATATGCACGCAGCTAACAGAGTTGAACCTTTCTATTGACAGAGCAGTTTTGAAACAGTCTTTCTGTGGAATCTGCAAGTGCATATTTTGATAGCTTGGAGGATTTCGTTGGAAACGGGATTACGTATAAAAAGTAGACAGCAGCATCCTCAGAAACTTCTTTGTGATGTGTGCATTCAAGTCACAGAGTTGAACATTCCCTTTCGTACAGCAGTTTTGAAACACTCTTTCTGTGGTATCTGGAAGTGAACATTAGGACAGCTTTCAGCTCTATGGTGAGAAAGGAAATATCTTCAAATAAAAACTAGACAGAAGCATTCTCATAAACTTGTTTGTGATGTGTGAACTCAGCTAAGAGACGTGGATCTTTCTTTTGATACAGCAGTTTTGAAAAACACTTTTTGTTGAATCTGCAAGTGGACATTTTATAGATATGAAGATTTCGTTGGAAACGGGAATATCTTCATATCAAATCTAGACAGAAGCATTCTCGGAAACGTCTTTGTGATGTTTGCATTCAACTCATAGAGTTGAACATTCCGTTTCAGAGAGCAGCTTTGAGGCACTCATTTTGTAGTATGTGCAAGTGGATATTTGGAGCGCTCTGAGGCCTTCGGTGAAAAAGCAAATATCTTCCCATAACCACTACACAGAAACATTCTCAGAAACTCCTTTATGACGTATGCACTCACCTAACAGAGAAGAACCTTCCTTTTGACAGAGCATTTTTGATACACTCTTTTTGTAGAATCTGCAAGTGGATATTTGGATAGCTGTGAAGATTTCGTTGGAAACGGGAATATCTTCCTATAAAATCTAGACAGAAGCATTCTCAGAAACTGCTCTGTGATGTCTGCATTCAAGTCACAGAGTTCAACATTGTCTTTCATAGAGCAGGTTTGAAATGCTCTTTTTGTAGTATATGGAAGTGGACGTTTCGGACGGTTTGAGGCCCATGGTGATAAAGGGAATATCTTCCCCTACAAGCTAGAAAGAAGCATTCTGTGAAACTTGTTTGTGATGTGTGTACTCAACTAACAGAGTTGAACCTTTCTTTTTACAGAGCAGTTTTGAAACACTCTTTTTGTAGAATCTGCGAGGGGATATTTGGATACATTTCAGGATTTAGTTGGAAACGGGAATATCTTCACATAAAATCTTGACAGAAGCATTCTCAGAAGCTTCTTTGTGATATGTGCATTCAAGTCACAGAGTTCAATATTCCCTTTCACAGAGTAGGTTTGAAACACTCTTTTTGTAGTATCTGGAAGTGGACATTTGGAGCGCCTTGACGCCTAAGGTGAAAAGGGAAATATCTTCTCATAAAAAGTAGACAGAAGCAATCTCAGAATCTTCTTTGGGATATATGCACGCAGCTAACAGAGTTGAACCTTTCTATTGACAGAGCAGTTTTGAAACAGTCTTTCTGTGGAATCTGCAAGTGGATATTTGGATAGCTTGGAGGATTTCGTTGGAAACGGGATTACGTATAAAAAAGTAGACAGCAGCATCCTCAGAAACTTCTTTGTGATGTGTGCATTCAAGTCACAGAGTTGAACATTCCCTTTCGTACAGCAGTTTTGAAACACTCTGTAGTAACTGGAAGTGAACATTAGGACAGCTTTCAGGTCTATGGTGAGAAAGGAAATATCTTCAAATAAAAACTAGACAGAAGCATTCTCATAAACTTGTTTGTGATGTGTGAACTCAGCAAACAGCGGTGGATCTTTCTTTTGATAGAGCAGTTCTGAAAAACACTTTTTGTTGAATCTGCAAGTGGACATTTGGATAGTTTTGAAGATTTCCTTGGAAACGGGAATATCTTCATATCAAATCTAGACAGAAGCATTCTCAGAAACGTCTTTGTGATGTTTGCATTCAAGTCATAGAGTTGAACATTCCGTTTCAGAGAGCAGCTTTGAAGCACTCTTTTTGTAGTATGTGCAAGTGGATATTTGGAGCGCTCTGAGACCTACGGTGAAAAAGCAAATATCTTCCCATAACCACTAGACAGAAACATTCTCAGAAACTCCTTTATGACGTGTGCACTCACCTAACAGAGAAGAACCTTCCTTTTGACAGAGCAGTTTTGATACACTCTTTTTGTAGAATCTGCAAGTGGATATTTGGATAGCTGTGAAGATTTCGTTGGAAACGGGAATATCTTCCTATAAAACCTAGACAGAAGCATTCTCAGAAACTGCTCTGTGATGTCTGCATTCAAGTCACAGAGTTGAACATTGCTTTTCCTAGAGCAGGTTTGAAACGCTCTTTTTGTAGTATATGGAAGTGGACGTTTCGGATGGTTTGAGGCCCATGGTGATAAAGGGAATATCTTCCCCTACAAGCTAGAAAGAAGCATTCTGTGAAACTTGTTTGTGATGTGTGTACTCAACTAAGAGAGTTGAACCTTTCTTTTCACAGAGCAGTTTTGAAACACTCTTTTTGTAGAATCTGCGAGGGGATATTTGGATAGATTTCAGAATTTCGTTGGAAACGGGAATATCTTCATACAAAATCTCGACAGAAGCATTCTCAGAAACTTCCTTGTGATATGTGCATTCAAGTCACAGAGTTGAATATTCCCTTTCACAGAGTAGGTTTGAAACACTCTTTTTGTAGTATCTGGAAGTGGACATTCGGAGCGCCTTGATGCCTACGGTGAAAAGGGAAATATCTTCCCATAAAAACTAGACAGAAGCAATCTCAGAATCTTCTTTGGGATATATGCACGCAGCTAATAGAGTTGAACCTTTCTATTGACAGAGCAGTTTTGAAACAGTCTTTCTGTGGAATCTGCAAGTGGATATTTGGATAGCTTCGAGGATTTCTTTGGAAACGCGATTACGTATAAAAAGTAGACAGCAGCATCCTCAGAAACTTCTTTGTGATGTGTGCTTTCAAGTCACAGTGTTGAACATTCCCTTTCGTACAGTAGTTTTGAAACACTCTTTCTGTAGTATCTGGAAGTGAACATTAGGACAGCTTTCAGGTCTATGGTGAGAAAGGAAATATCTTCAAATAAAAACTAGACAGAAGCATTTTCATAAACTTGTTTGTGATGTGTGAACTCAGCTAACAGAGGTGGATCTTTCTTTTGATAGAGCAGTTCTGAAAAACACTTATTGTTGAATCTGCAAGTGGACATTTGGATAGATTTGAAGATTTCGTTGGAAACGGGAATATCTTCATATCAAATCTAGACAGAAGCATTCCCAGAAACGTCTTTGTGATGTTTGCATTCAACTCATAGAGTTGAACATTCCGTTTCAGAGAGCAGCTTTGAAGCACTCTTTTTGTAGTATGTGCAAGTGGATATTTGGAGCGCTCTGAGGCCTAAGGTGAAAAAGCAAATATCTTCCCATAACCACTAGACAGAAACATTCTCAGAAACTCCTTTATGACGTATGCACTCACCTAACAGAGAAGAACCTTCCTTTTGACAGAGCAGTTTTGATACACTCTTTTTGTAGAATCTGCAAGTGGATATTTGGATAGCTGTGAAGATTTCGTTGGAAACGGGAATATCTTCCTATAAAATCCAGACAGAAGCATTCTCAGAAACTGCTCTGTGATGTCTGCATTCAAGTCACAGAGTTGAACATTGCCTTTCATAGAGCCGGTTTGAAACGCTCTTTTTGTAGTATATGGAAGTGGATGTTTCGGACGGTTGGAGGCCCATGGTGATAAAGGGAATATCTTACCCAACAAGCTAGAAAGAAGCATTCTGTGAAACTTGTTTGTGATGTGTGTACTCAACTAACACAGTTGAACCTTTCTTTTTACAGAGCAGTTTTGAAACACTCTTTTTGTAGAATCTGCAAGTGGATATTTGGATAGCTGTGAAGGTTTCATTGGAAACGGGAATATCTTCCTATAAAATCTAGACAGAAGCATTCTCAGAAACTTCTTTGTGATATGTGCATTCAAGTCACAGAGTTGAATATTCCCTTTCACAGAGTAGGTTTGAAACACTCTTTTTGTAGTATCTGGAAGTGGACATTTGAAGCGCCTTGACGCCTACGGTGAAAAGGGAAATATCTTCCCATAAAAACTAGACAGAAAGCAATCTCAGAATCTTCTTTGGGATATATGCACGGAGTTAACAGAGTTGAACCTTTCTATTGACAGAGCAGTTTTGAAACAGTCTTTCTGTGGAATCTGCAAGTGGATATTTGGATAGCTTGGAGGTTTTCTTTGGAAACGGGATTACGTATAAAAAGTAGACTGCAGCATCCTCAGAAACTTCTTTGTGATGTGTGCATTCAAGTCACAGAGTTGAACATTCCCTTTCGTACAGCAGTTTTGAAACACTCTTTCTGTAGTATCTGGAAGTGAACATTAGGACAGCTTTCAGGTCTATGGTGAGAAAGGAAATATCTTCAAATATAAACTAGACAGAAGCATTTTCATAAACTTGTTTGTGATGTGTGAACTCAGCTAACAGAGGTGGATCTCTCTTTTGATAGAGCATCAGCTAACAGACGTGGATCTTTCTTTTGATACAGCAGTTTTGAAAAACACTTTTTGTTGAATCTGCAAGTGGACATTTGGATAGATATGAAGATTTCGTTGGAAACGGGAATATCTTCATATCAAATCTAGACAGAAGCATTCTCAGAAACGTCTTTGTGATGTTTGCATTCAACTCATAGAGTTGAACATTCCGTTTCAGAGAGCAGCTTTGAAGCACTCTTTTTGTAGTATGTGCAAGTGGATATTTGGAGCGCTCTGAGTCCTACGGGGAAAAAGCAAATATCTTCCCATAACCACTAGACAGAAACATTCTCAGAAACTCCTTTATGACGTATGTACTCAACTAACAGAGAAGAACCTTCCTTTTGACAGAGCAGTTTGAATACACTCTTTTTGTAGAATCTGCAAGTGGATATTTGGATAGCTGTGAAGATTTCGTTGGAAACGGGAATATCTTCCTATAAAATCTAGACAGAAGCATTCTCAGGAACTGCTCTGCGATGTCTGTATTCAAGTCACAGAGTTGAACATTGCCTTTCATAGAGCAGGTTTGAAACCCTCTTTTTGTAGTATATGGAAGTGGACGTTTCGGACGGTTTGAGGCCCATGGTGATAAAGGGAATATCTTCCCCTACAAGCTAGAAAGAAGCATTCTGTGAAACTTGTTTGTGATGTGTGTACTCAACTAACAGAGTTGAACCTTTCTTTTTACAGAGCAGTTTTGAAACACTCTTTTTGTGGAATCTGCGAGGGGATATTTGGATAGATTTCAGGATTTCGTTGGAAACGGGAATATCTTCATAGAAAATCTCGACAGAAGCATTCTCAGAAACTTCTTTGTGATATGTGCATTCAAGTCACAGAGTTGAATATTCCCTTTCACAGAGTAGGTTTGAAACACTCTTTTTGTAGTATCTGGAAGTGGACATTTGGAGCGCCTTGACACCTACGGTGAAAAGGGAAATATCTTCTCATAAAAAGTAGACAGAAGCAATCTCAGAATCTTCTTTGGGATATATGCACGCAGCTAACAGAGTTGAACCTTTCTATTGACAGAGCAGTTTTGAAACAGTCTTTCTGTGGAATCTGCAAGTGGATATTTGGATAGCTTGGAGGATTTCGTTGGAAACGGGATTGCATATAAAAAGTAGACAGCCAGCATCCTCAGAACTTCTTTGTGATGTGTGCATTCAAGTCACAGAGTTGAACATTCCCTTTCGTACAGCAGTTTTGAAACACTCTTTCTGTAGTATCTGGAAGTGAACATTAGGACAGCTTTCAGGTCTATGGTGAGAAAGGAAATATCTTCAAATAAAAACTAGACAGAGCATTCTCATAAACTTGTTCGTGATGTGTGAACTCAGCTAACACACGTGGATCTTTCTTTTGATAGAGCAGTTCTGACAAACACTTTTTGTTGAATCTGCAAGAGGACATTTGGATAGATTTGAAGATTTCGTTGGAAACGGGAATATCTTCATATCAAATCTAGACAGAAGCATTGTCAGAGACGTCTTTGTGATGTTTGCATTCAACTCATAGAGTTGAACATTCCCTTTCAGAGAGCAGCTTTGAAGCACTCTTTTTGTAGCATGTGCAAGTGGACATTTGGAGCACCCTGAGGCCTACGGTGAAAAAGCAAATATCTTCCCATAACCACTAGACAGAAACATTCTCAGAAACTCCTTTATGACGTATGCACTCACCTAACAGAGAAGAACCTTCCTTTTGACAGAGCAGTTTTGATACACTCTTTTTGTAGAATCTGCAAGTGGATATTTGGATAGCTGTGAAGATTTCGTTGGAAACGGGAATATCTTCCTATAATATCTAGACAGAAAGCATTCTCAGAAACTGCTCTGTGATGTCTGCATTCAAGTCACAGAGTTGAACATTGCCTTTCATAGAGCAGGTTTGAAACGCTCTTTTTGTAGTATATGGAAGTGGACGTTTCGGACGGTTTGAGGCCCATGGTGATAAAGGGAATATCTTCCCCTACAAGCTAGAAAGAAGCATTCTGTGAAACTTGTTTGTGATGTGTGTACGCAACTAACAGAGTTGAACCTTTCTTTTTACAGAGCAGTTTTGAAACACTCTTTTTGTAGAATCTGCGAGGGGATATTTGGATAGATTTCAGGTTTTCGTTGGAAACGGGAATATCTTCATATAAAATCTCGACAGAAGCATTCTCAGAAACTTCTTTGTGATATCTGCATTCCAGTCACAGAGTTGAATATTCTCTTTCACAGAGTAGGTTTGAAACACTCTTTTTATAGTATCTGGAATTGGACATTTGGAGCGCCTTGACGCCTACGGTGAAAAGGGAAATATCTTCCCATAAAAACTAGACAGAAGCAATCTCAGAATCTTCTTTGGGATATATGCACGCAGCTAACAGAGTTGAACCTTTCTATTGACACAGCAGTTTAGAAACAGTCTTTCTGTGGAATCTGCAAGTGGATATTTGGATAGCTTGGAGGATTTCGTTGGAAACGGGATTACGTATAAAAAGTAGACAGCAGCATCCTCAGAAACTTCTTTGTGATGTGTGCATTCAAGTCACAGTGTTGAACATTCCCTTTCGTACAGCAGTTTTGAAACACTCTATCTGTAGTATCTGGAAGTGAACATTAGGACAGCTTTCAGGTCTATGGTGAGAAAGGAAATATCTTCAAATAAAAACTAGACAGAAGCATTCTCATAAACTTGTTTGTGATGTGTGAACTCAGCTAACAGAGGTGGATCTTTCTTTTGATAGAGCAGTTCTGAAAAACACTTTTTGTTGAATCTGCAAGTGGACATTTGGATAGATTTGAAGATTTCGTTGGAAACGGAAATATCTTCATATCAAATCTAGACAGAAGCATTCTCAGAAACGTTCTTTGTGATGTTGGCATTCAACTCATAGAGTTGAACATTCCGTTTCAGAGAGCAGCTTTGAGGCACTCTTTTTGTAGTATGTGCAAGTGGATATTTGGAGCGCTCTGAGGCCTACGGTGAAAAAGCAAATATCTTCCCATAACCACTAGACAGAAACATTCTCAGAAACTTCTTTATGACGTATGCACTCACCTAACAGAGAAGAACCTTCCTTTTGACAGAGCAGTTTTGATACACTCTTTTTGTAGTATCTGCAGGTGGATATTTGGATAGCTGTGAAGATTTCGTTGGAAACGGGAATATCTTCCTATAAAGTCTGGACAGAAGCATTCTCTGAAACTGCTCTGTGATGTCTGCATTCAAGTCACAGAGTTGAACGTTGCCTTTCATAGAGCAGGTTTCAAACCCTCTTTTTTTAGTATATGGAAGTGGACGTTTCAGACTGTTTGAGGACCATGGTGATAAAGGAAATATCTTCCCCTACAAGCTAGAAAGAAGCATTCTGTGAAACTTGTTTGTGATGTGTGTACTCAACTTACAGAGTTGAACCTTTCTTTTTACAGAGCAGTTTTGAAACACTCTTTTTGTAGAATCTGCGAGGGGTTATTTGGATAGATTTCAGGATTTCGTTGGAAACGGGAATATCTTCATATAAAATCTCGACAGAAGCATTCTCAGAAACTTCTTTGTGATATGTGCATTCAAGTCACAGAGTTGAATATTCCCTTTCACAGAGTAGGTTTGAAACACTCTTTTTGTAGTATCTGGAAGTGGACATTTTGAGCGCCTTGACGCCTACGGTGAAAAGGGAAATATCTTCTCATAAAAAGTAGACAGAAGCAATCTCAGAATCTTCTTTGGGATATATGCACGCAGCTAACAGAGTTGAACCTTTCTATTGAGAGAGCAGTTTTGAAACAGTCTTTCTGTGGAATCTGCAAGTGGATATTTGGATAGCTTGGAGGATTTCGTTGGAAACGGGATTACGTATAAAAAGTAGACAGCAGCATCCTCAGAAACTTCCTTGTGGTGTGTGCATTCAAGTCACAGAGTTGAACATTCCCTTTCTTACAGCAGTTTTGAAACACTCTTTCTGTAGTATCTGGAAGTGAACATTAGGACAGCTTTCAGGTCTATGGTGAGAAAGGAAATATCTTCAAATAAAAACTAGACAGAAGCATTCTCATAAACTTGTTTGTGATGTGTGAACTCAGCTAACAGAGGTGGATCTTTCTTTTGATAGAGCAGTTCTGAAAAACACTTTTTGTTGAATCTGCAAGTGGACATTTGGATAGATTTGAAGATTTCGTTGGAAACGGGAATATCTTCATAACAATTCTAGACAGAAGCATTCTCAGAAACGTCTTTGTGATGTTTGCATTCAACTCATAGAGTTGAACATTCCGTTTCAGAGAGCAGCTTTGAATCACTCTTTTTGTAGTATGTGCAAGTGTATATTTGGAGCGCTCTGAGGCCTAAGGTGAAAAAGCAAATATCTTCCCATAACCACTAGACAGAAACATTCTCAGAAACTCCTTTATGACGTATGCACTCACCTAACAGAGAAGAAACCTTCCTTTTGACAGAGCACTTTTGATACACTCTTTTTGTAGAATCTGAAAGTGGATATTTGGATAGCTGTGAAGATTTCGTTGGAAACGGGAATATCTTCCTATAAATTCTAGACAGAAGCATTCTCAGAAACTGCTCTGTGATGTCTGCGTTCAAGTCACAGAGTTGAACATTGCCTTTCATGGAGCAGGTTTGAAACGCTCTTTTTGTAGTATATGGAAATGGACGTTTCGGACGGTTTGAGGCCCATGGTGATAAAGGGAATATCTTCCCCTACAAGCTAGAAAGAAGCATTCTGTGAAACTTGTTTGTGATGTGTGTACTCAACTAACAGAGTTGAACCTTTCTTTTTACAGAGCAGTTTTGAAACTCTCTTTTTGTAGAATCTACGAGGGGATATTTGGATAGATTTCAGGATTTCGTTGGAAACGGGAATATCTTCATATAAAATCTCGACAGATGCATTCTCAGAAACTTCTTTGTGATATGTGCATACTAGTCACAGAGTTGAATATTCCCTTTCACAGAGTAGGTTTGAAACACTCTTTTTGTAGTATCTGGAAGTGGACATTTGGAGCGCCTTAACGCCTACGGTGAAAAGGGAAATATCTTCCCATAAAAACTAGACAGAAGCAATCTCAGAATCGTCTTTGGGATATATGCACGCAGCTAACAGAGTTGAACCTTTCTATTGACATAGTAGTTTTGAAACAGTCTTTCTGTGGAATCTGCAAGTGGATATTTGGATAGCTTGGAGGATTTCGTTGGAAACGGGATTACGTATAAAAAGTAGACAGCAGCATCCTCAGAAACATCCTTGTGATGTGTGCATTCAAGTCACAGAGTTGAACATTCCCTTTCGTACAGCAGTTTTGAAACACTCTTTCTGTAGTATCTGGAAGTGAACTTTAGGAGAGCTTTCAGGTCTATAGTGAGAAAGGATATATACTTCAAATAAAAACTAGACAGAAGCATTTTCATAAACTTGTTTGTGATGTGTGAACTCAGCTAACAGAGGTGGATCTTTCTTTTGATAGAGCAGTTCTGAAAAACACTTTTTGTTGAATCTGCAAGTGGACATTTGGATAGATTTGAAGATTTCGTTGGGAACGGGAATATCTTCATATCAAATCTAGACAGAAGCATTGTCAGAAACGTCTTTGTGATGTTTGCATTCAACTCATAGAGTTGAACATTCCGTTTCAGAGAGCAGCTTTGAAGCACTCTTTTTGTAGTATGTGCAAGTGGATATTTGGAGCGCTCTGAGGCCTAAGGTGAAAAAGCAAATATCTTCCCATAACCACTAGACAGAAACATTCTCAGAAACTCCTTTATGACGTATGCACTCACCTAACAGAGAAGAACCTTCCTTTTGACAGAGCAGTTTTGATACACTCTTTTTGTAGAATCTGCAAGTGGATATTTGGATAGCTGTGAAGATTTCGTGGGAATCGGGAATATCTTCCTATAATATCTAGACAGAAGCATTCTCAGAAACTGCTCTTTGATGTCTGCATTCAAGTCACAGAGTTGAACATTGCCTTTCATAGAGCAGGTTTGAAACACTCTTTTTGTAGTATATGGAAGTGGACGTTTCGGACGGTTTGAGGCCCATGGTGATAAAGGGAATATCTTCCCCTACAAGCTAGAAAGAAGCATTCTGTGAAACTTGTTTGTGATGTGTGTACTCAACTAACAGAGTTGAACCTTTCTTTTTACAGAGCAGTTTTGAAACAGTCTTTTTGTAGAATCTGCGAGGGGATATTTGGATAGATTTCAGGATTTCGTTGGAAACGGGAATATCTTCATATAAAATCTCGACAGAAGCATTCTCAGAAGCTTCTTTGTGATATGTGCATTCAAGTCACAGAGTTCAATATTCCCTTTCACAGAGTAGGTTTGAAACACTCTTTTTGTAGTATCTGGAAGTGGACATTTGGAGCGCCTTGACGCCTACGGTGAAAAGGGAAATATCTTCTCATAAAAAGTAGACAGCAGCAATCTCAGAATCTTCTTTGGGATATATGCACGGAGTTAACAGAGTTGAACCTTTCTATTGACAGAGCAGTTTTGAAACAGTCTTTCTGTGGAATCTGCAAGTGGATATTTGGATAGCTTGGAGGTTTTCTTTGGAAACGGGATTACGTATAAAAAGTAGACTGCAGCATCCTCAGCAAACTTCTTTGTGATGTGTGCATTCAAGTCACAGAGTTGAACATTCCCTTTCGTACAGCAGTTTTGAAACACTCTTTCTGTAGTATCTGGAAGTGAACATTAGGACAGCTTTCAGGTCTATGGTGAGAAAGGAAATATCTTCAAATAAAAACTAGACGGAAGCATTCTCATAAACTTGTTTGTGATGTGTGAACTCAGCTAACAGAGGATGGATCTTTCTTTTGATAGAGCAGTTCTGAAAAACACTTTTTGTTGAATCTGCAAGTGGACATTTGGATAGATTTGAAGATTTCGTTGGAAACGGGAATATCTTCATATCAAATCTAGGCAAGAAGCATTCTCGGAAACGTCTTTGTGATGTTTGCATTCAACTCATAGAGTTGAACATTCCGTTTCAGAGAGCAGCTTTGAGGCACTCATTTTGTAGTATGTGCAAGTGGATATTTGGAGCGCTCTGAGGCCTTCGGTGAAAAAGCAAATATCTTCCCATAACCACTAGACGGAAACATTCTCAGAAACTCCTTTATGACGTATGTACTCAACTAACAGAGAAGAACCTTCCTTTTGACAGAGCAGATTTGATACACTCTTTTTGTAGAATCTGCAAGCGGATATTTGGATAGCTGTGAAGATCTCGTTGGAAACGGGAATATCTTCCTATAAAATCTAGACAGAAGCATTCTCAGAAACTGCTCTGTGATGTCTGCATTCAAGTCACAGAGTTGAACATTGCCTTTCCTAGAGCAGGTTTGAAACGCTCTCTTTGTAGTATATGGAAGTGGACGTTTCGGACGGTTTGAGGCCCATGGTGATAAAGGGAATATCTTCCCCTACAAGCTAGAAAGAAGCATTCTGTGAAACTTGTTTGTGATGTGTGTACTCAACTAACAGAGTTGAACCTTTCTTTTCACAGAGCAGTTTTGAAACACTCTTTTTGTAGAATCTGCGAGGGGATATTTGGATACATTTCAGCATTTCGTTGGAAACGGGAATATCTTCATATAAAATCTCGACAGAAGCATTCTCAGAAACTTCTTTGTGATATGTGCATTGAAGTCACAGAGTTGAATATTCCCTTTCACAGAGTAGGTTTGAAACACTCTTTTTGTAGTATCTGGAAGTGGACATTTGGAGCGCCTTGACACCTACGGTGAAAAGGGAAATATCTTCCCATAAAAACTAGACAGAAGCAATCTCAGAATTTTCTTTGGGATATATGCACACAGCTAACAGAGTTGAACTTTTCTATTGACATAGCAGTTTTGAAACAGTCTTTCTGTGGAATATGCAAGTGGATATTTGGATAGCTTGGAGGATTTCGTTGGAAACGGGATTACGTATAAAAAGTAGACAGCAGCATCCTCAGAAACTTCTTTGTGATGTGTGCATTCAAGTCACAGAGTTGAATATTCCCTTTCGTACAGCAGTTTTGAAACACTCTTTCTGTAGCATCTGGAAGTGAACATTAGGACAGCTTTCAGGTCTATGGTGAGAATGGAAATATCTTCAAATAAAAACTAGACAGAAGAATACTGATAAACTTGTTTGTGAAGTGTGAACTCAGCTAACACAGGTGGATCTTTCTTTTGATACAGCAGTTTTGAAAAACATTTTGTTGAATCTGCAAGTGGACATTTGGATAGATTTGAAGATTTCGTTGGAAACGGGAATATCTTCATATCAAATCTAGACAGAAGCATTCTCAGAAACGTCTTTGTGATGCTTGCATTCAACTCATAGAGTTGAACATTCCCTTCCAGAGAGCAGCTTTGAAGCACTCTTTTTATAGTATGTGCAAGGGGATATTTGGAGCGCTCTGAGGCCTAAGGTGAAAAAGCAAATATCTTCCCATAACCACTAGACAGAAACATTCTCAGAAACTCCTTTATGACGTATGCACTCACCTATCAGAGAAGAACCTTCCTTTTGACAGAGCAGTTTTGATACACTCTTTTTGTAGAATCTGCAAGTGGATATTTGGATATCTGTGAAGATTTCGTTGGAAACGGGAATATCTTCCTATAAAATCTAGACAGAAGCATTCTCAGAAACTGCTCTGTGATGTCTGCATTCAAGTCACAGAGTTGAATATTGCTTTTCATAGAGCAGGTTTGAAACGCTCTTTTTGTAGTATATGGAAGTAGACGTTTCGGACGGTTTGAGGCCCATGGTGATAAAGGGAATATCTTCCCCTACAAGCTAGAAAGAAGCATTCTGTGAAACTTGTTTGTGATGTGTGTACTCAACTAACAGAGTTGAACCTTTCTTTTTACAGAGCAGTTTTGAAACACTCTTTTTGTAGAATCTGCGAGGGGATATTTGGATAGGTTTCAGGATTTCGTTGGAAACGGGAATATCTTCATATAAAATCTCGACAGAAGCATTCTCAGAAACTTCTTTGTGATATGTGCATTCAAGTCACAGAGTTGAATATTCCCTTTCACAGTGTAGGTTTGAAACACTCTTTTTGTAGTATCTGGAAGTGGACATTTGGAGCGCCTTGACGCCTACGGTGAAAAGGGAAATATCTTCCCATAAAAACTAGACAGAAGCAATCTCAGAATTTTCTTTGGGATATATGCACACAGCTAACAGAGTTGAACTTTTCTATTGACATAGCAGTTTTGAAACAGTCTTTCTGTGGAATCTGCAAGTGGATATTTGGATAGCTTGGAGGATTTCGTTGGAAACAGGATTACGTATAAAAAGTAGACAGCAGCATCCTCAGAAACTTCTTTGTGATGTGTGCATTCAAGTCACAGAGTTGAACATTCCCTTTCGTACAGCAGTTTTGAAACACTCTTTCTGTAGTATCTGGAAGTGAACATTAGGACAGCTTTCAGGTCTATGGTGAGAAACGAAATATCTTCAAATAAAAACTAGACAGAAGCATTCTCATAAACTTGTTTGTGATGTGTGAACTCAGCTAACAGAGGTGGATCTTTCTTTTGATAGAGCAGTTCTGAAAAACACTTTTGTTGAATATGCAAGTGGACATTTGGATAGATTTGAAGATTTCGTTGGAAACGGGAATATCTTCATATCAAATCTAGACAGAAGCATTCTCGGAAACGTCTTTGTGATGTTTGCATTCAACTCATAGAGTTGAACATTCCGTTTCAGAGAGCAGCTTTGAAGCACTCTTTTTGTAGTATGTGCAAGTGGATATTTGGAGCGCTCTGAGGCCTACGGTGAAAAAGCAAATATCTTCCCATAACCACTACACAGAAACATTCTCAGAAACTCCTTTTATGACGTATGCACTCACCTAACAGAGAAGAACCTTCCTTTTGACAGAGCAGTTTTGATACACTCTTTTTGTAGAATCTGCAAGTGGATATTTGGATAGCTGTGAAGATTTCGTTGGAAACGGGAATATCTTCCTATAAAATCTATACAGAAGCATTCTCAGAAACTGCTCTGTGATGTCTGCATTCAAGTCACAGAGTTGAACATTGCCTTTCATAGAGCAGGTTTGAAACGCTCTTTTTGTAGTATATGGAAGTGGACGTTTCGGACGGTTTGAAGCCCATGGTGATAAAGGGAATATCTTCCCCTACAAGCTAGAAAGAAGCATTCTGTGAAACTTGTTTGTGATGTGTGTACTCAACTAACAGAGTTGAACCTTTCTTTTTACAGAGCAGTGTTGAAACACTCTTTTTGTAGAATCTGCGAGGGGATATTTGGATAGATTTCAGGATTTCGTTGGAAACGGGAATATCTTCATATAAAATCTCGACAGAAGCATTCTCAGAAGCTTCTTTGTGATATGTGCATTCAAGTCACAGAGTTCAATATTCCCTTTCACAGAGTAGGTTTGAAACACTCTTTTTGTAGTATCTGGAAGTGGACATTTGGAGCACCTTGACGCCTACGGTGAAAAGGGAAATATCTTCTCATAAAAAGTAGACAGAAGCAATCTCAGAATCTTCTTTGGGATATTTGCACGCAGCTAACAGAGTTGAACCTTTCTATTGACAGAGCAGTTTTGAAACAGTCTTTCTGTGGAATCTGCAAGTGGATATTTGGATAGCTTGGAGGATTTCGTTGGAAACGGGATTACGCATAAAAAGTAGACAGCAGCATCCTCAGAAACTTCTTTGTGATGTGTGCATTCAAGTCACAGAGTTGAACATTCCCTTTCGTACAGCAGTTTTGAAACTCTCTTTCTGTAGTATCTGGAAGTGAACATTAGGACAGCTTTCACGTCTATGGTGAGAAAGGAAATATCTTCAAATAAAAACTAGACAGAAGCATTCTCATAAACTTGTTTGTGATGTGTGAACTCAGCTAACAGAGGTGGATCTTTCTTTTGATAGAGCAGTTTTGAAAAACACTTTTTGTTGAATCTGCAAGTGGACATTTGGATAGATTTGAAGATTTCGTTGGAAACGGGAATATCTTCATATCAAATCTAGACAGAAGCATTCTCAGAAACGTCTTTGTGATGTTTGCATTCAACTCATAGAGTTGAACATTCCGTTTCAGAGAGCAGCTTTGAAGCACTCTTTTTGTAGTATGTGCAAGTGGATATTTGGAGCGCTCTGAGGCCTACGGTGAAAAAGCAAGTATCTTCCCATAACCACTAGACAGAAACATTCTCAGAAACTCCTTTATGACGTATGCACTCACCTAACAGAGAAGAACCTTCCTTTTGACAGAGCAGTTTTGATACACTCTTTTTGTAGAATCTGCAAGTGGATATTTGGATAGCTGTGAAGATTTCGTTGGAAACGGGAATATCCTCCTATAAAATCTAGACAGAAGCATTCTCAGAAACTGCTCTGTGATGTCTGCATTCAAATCACAGAGTTGAACATTGCCTTTCCTAGAGCAGGTTTGAAACGCTCTTTTTGTAGTATATGGAAGTGGACGTTTCGGACGGTTTGAGGCCCATGGTGATAAAGGGAATATCTTCCCCTAGCAGCTAGAAAGAAGCATTCTGAGGAAACTTGTTTGTGATGTGTGTACTCAACTAACAGAGTTGAACCTTTCTTTTTGCAGAGCAGTTTTGAAACACTCTTTTTGTAGAATCTGCGAGGGGATATTTGGATAGATTTCAGGATTTCGTTGGAAACGGGAATATCTTCATATAAAATCTCGACAGAAGCATTCTCAGAAACTTCCTTGTGATATGTGCATTCAAGTCACAGAGTTGAATATTCCCTTTCACAGAGTAGGTTTGAAACACTCTTTTTGTAGTATCTGGAAGTGGACATTTGGAGCGCCTTGACGCCCACGGTGAAAAGGGAAATATCTTCCAATAAAAACTAGACAGAAGCAATCTCAGAATCTTCTTTGGGATATATGCACGCAGCTAACAGAGTTGAACCTTTCTATTGACAGAGCAGTTTTGAAACAGTCTTTCTGTGGAATCTGCAAGTGGATATTTGGATAGCTTGGAGGACTTCGTTGGAAACGGGATTAAGTATAAAAAGTAGACAGCAGCATCCTCAGAAACTTCTTTGTGATGTGTGCATTCAAGTCACAGAGTTGAACATTCTCTTTCGTACAGCAGTTTTGAAATGCTCTTTCTGTAGTATCTGGAAGTGAACATTAGGACAGCTTTCAGGTCTATGGTGAGAAAGGAAATATCTTCAAATAAAAACTAGACAGAAAGCATTCTCATAAACTTGTTTGTGATGTGTGAACTCAGCTAACAGAGGTGGATCTTTCTTTTGATAGAGCAGTTCTGAAAAACACTTTTTGTTGAAACTGCAAGTGGACATTTGGATAGATTTGAAGATTTCGTTGGAAACGGGAATATCTTCATATCAAATCTAGACAGAAGCATTCTCAGAAACGTCTTTGTGATGTTTGCATTCAACTCATAGAGTTGAACATTCCGTTTCAGAGAGCAGCTTTGAAGCACTCTTTTTGTAGTATGTGCAAGTGGATATTTGGAGCGCTCTGAGGCCTACGGTGAAAAAGCAAATATCTTCCCATAACCAGTAGACAGAAACATTCTCAGAAACTCCTTTATGACGTATGCACTCACCTAACAGAGAAGAACCTTCCTTTTGACAGAGCACTTTTGATACACTCTTTTTGTAGAATCTGCAAGTGGATATTTAGATAGCTGTGAAGATTTCGTTGGAAACGGGAATATCTTCCTATAAAATCTAGACAGAAGCATTCTCAGAAACTGCTCTGTGATGTCTGCATTCAATTCACAGAGTTGAACATTGCCTTTCCTAGAGCAGGTTTGAAATGCTCTTTTTGTAGTATATGGAAGTGGACGTTTCGGACGGTTTGAGGCCCATGGTGATAAAGGGAATATCTTCCCCTACAAGCTAGAAAGAAGCATTCTGTGAAACTTGTTTGTGATGTGTGTACTCAACTAACAGAGTTGAACCTTTCTTTTTACAGAGCAGTTTTGAAACACTCTTTTTGTAGAATCTGCGATGGGTTATTTGGATACATTTCAGCATTTCGTTGGAAACGGGAATATCTTCATATAAAATCTCGACAGAAGCATTCTCAGAAACTTCTTTGTGATATGTGCATTCAAGTCACAGAGTTGAATATTCCCTTTCACAGAGTAGGTTTGAAACACTCTTTTTGTAGTATCTGGAAGTGGACATTTGGAGCGCCTTGACGCCTACAGTGAAAAGGGAAATATCTTCCCATAAAAACTAGACAGAAGCAATCTCAGAATTTTCTTTGGGATATATGCACACAGCTAACAGTAGTTGAACTTTTCTATTGACATAGCAGTTTTGAAACAGTCTTTCTGTGGAATCTGCAAGTGGATATTTGGATAGCTTGGAGGATTTCGTTGGAAACGGGATTACGTATAAAAATTAGACAGCAGCATCCTCAGAAACTTCTTTGTGATGTGTGCATTCAAGTCACAGAGTTGAACATTCCCTTTCGTACAGCAGTTTTGAAACACTCTTTCTGTAGTAACTGGAAGTGAACATTAGGACAGCTTTCAGGTCTATGGTGAGAAAGGAAATATCTTCAAATAAAAACTAGACGGAAGCATTCTCATAAACTTGTTTGTGATGTGTGAACTCAACTAACACACGTGGATCTTTCTTTTGATAGAGCAGTTCTGAAAAACACTTTTTGTTGAATCTGCAAGTGGACATTTGGATAGATTTGAAGATTTCGTTGGAAACGGGAATATCTTCATATCAAATCTAGACAGAAGCATTCTCAGAAACGTCTTTGTGATGTTTGCATTCAACTCATAGAGTTGAACATTCCCTTTCAGAGAGCAGCTTTGAAGCACTCTTTTTGTAGCATGTGCAAGTGGACATTTGGAGCGCCCTGAGGCCTACGGGGAAAAAGCAAATATCTTCCCATAACCACTAGACAGGAAACATTCTGAGAAACTCCTCTATGACGTATGCACTCACCTAACAGAGAAGAACCTTCCTTTTGACAGAGCATTTTTGATACACTCTTTTTGTAGAATCTGCAAGTGGATATTTGGATAGCTGTGAAGATTTCGTTGGAAACGGGAATATCTTCCTATAAAATCTAGACAGAAGCATTCTCAGAAACTGCTCTGTGATGTCTCCGTTCAAGTCACAGAGTTGAACATTGCCTTTCATGGAGCAGGTTTGAAACGCTCTTTTTGTAGTATATGGAAATGGACGTTTCGGACGGTTTGAGGCCCATGGTGATAAAGGGAATATCTTCCCCTACAAGCTAGAAAGAAGCATTCTGTGAAACTTGTTTGTGATGTGTGTACTCAACTAACAGAGTTGAACCTTTCTTTTTACAGAGCAGTTTTGAAACTCTCTTTTTGTAGAATCTGCGAGGGGATATTTGGATAGATTTCAGGATTTCGATGGAAACGGGAATATCTTCATATAAAATCTCGACAGAAGCATTCTCAGAAACTTCTTTGTGATATGTGTATTCAAGTCACAGGGTTGAATACTCCCTTTCACAGAGTAGGTTTGAAACACTCTTTTTGTAGTATCTGGAAGTGGACATTTGGAGCGCCTTGACGCCTACGGTGAAAAGGGAAATATCTTCCCATAAAAACTAGACAGAAGCAATCTCAGAATCTTCTTTGGGATATATGCACGCAGCTAACAGAGTTGAACCTTTCTATTGACAGAGCAGTTTTGAAACAGTCTTTCTGTGGAATCTGCAAGTGGATATTTGGATAGCTTGGAGGATTTCGTTGGAAACGGGATTACGTACAAAAAGTAGACAGCAGCATCCTCAGAAACTTCTTTGTGATGTGTGCATTCAAGCCACAGAGTTGAACATTCCCTTTCGTACAGCAGTTTTGAAACACTCTTTCTGTAGTATCTGGAAGTGAACATTAGGACAGCTTTCAGGTCTATGGTGAGAAAGGAAATATCTTCAAATAAAAACTAGACAGAAGCATTCTCATAAACTTGTTTGTGATGTGTGAACTCAGCTAACAGAGGTGGATCTTTCTTTTGATAGAGCAGTTCTGAAAAACACTTTTTGTTGAATCTGCAAGTGGACATTTGGATAGATTTGAAGATTTCGTTGGAAACGGGAATATCTTCATAACAAATCTAGACAGAAGCATTCTCAGAAACGTCTTTGTGATGTTTGCATTCAACTCATAGAGTTGAACATTCCGTTTCAGAGAGCAGCTTTGAAGCACTCTTTTTGTAGTATGTGCAAGTGGATATTTGGAGCGCTCTGAGGCCTACGGTGAGAAAGCAAATATCTTCCCATAACCACTAGACGGAAACATTCTCAGAAACTCCTTTATGACGTATGCACTCACCTAACAGAGAAGAACCTTCCTTTTGACAGAGCAGTTTTGATACACTCTTTTTGTAGAATCTGCAAGTGGATATTTGGATAGCTGTGAAGATTTTGCTGGAAACGGGAATATCTTCCTATAAAATCTAGACAGAAGCATTCTCAGAAACTGCTCTGTGATGTCTGCATTCAAGTCACAGAGTTGAACATTGCCTTTCATAGAGCAGGTTTGAAACGCTCTTTTTGTAGTATATGGAAGTGGACGTTTCGGATGGTTTGAGGCCCATGGTGATAAAGGGAATATCTTCCCCTACAAGCTAGAAAGAAGCATTCTGTGAAACTTGTTTGTGATGTGTGTACTCAACTAACAGAGTTGGACCTTTCTTTTTACAGAGCAGTTTTGAAACACTCTTTTTGTAGAATCTGTGAGGGGATATTTGGATAGGTTTCAGGATTTCGTTGGAAACGAGAATATCTTCATATAAAATCTCGACAGAAGCATTCTCAGGAAACTTCTTTGTGATATCTGCCTTCAAGTCACAGAGTTGAATATTCCCTTTCACAGAGTAGGTTTGAAACACTCTTTTTGTAGTATCTGGAAGTGGACATTTGGAACGCCTTGGCGCCTACGGTGAAAAGGTAAATATCTTCCCATAAAAACTAGACAGAAAGCAATCTCAGAATCTTCTTTGGGATATATGCACGCAGCTAACAGAGTTGAACCTTTCTATTGACTGAGCAGATTTGAAACAGTCTTTCTGTGGAATCTGCAAGTGGATATTTGGATAGCTTGGAGGATTTCGTTGGAAACGGGATTACGTATAAAAAGTAGACAGCAGCATCCTCAGAAACTTCTTTGTGATGTGTGCATTCAAGTCACAGAGTTGAACATTCCATTTCGTACAGCAGTTTTGAAACACTCTTTCTGTAGTATCTGGAAGTGAACATTAGGACAGCTTTCAGGTCTATGGTGAGAAAGGAAATATCTTCAAATAAAAACTAGACAGAAGCATTCTGATAAACTTGTTTGTGAAGTGTGAACTCAGCTAACAGGTGGATCTTTCTTTCGAAACAGCAGTTTTGAAAAACACTTTTTGTTGAATCTGCAAGTGGACATTTGAATAGATTTGAAGATTTCGTTGGAAACAGGAATATCTTTATATGAAATCTAGACAGAAGCATTCTCAGAAACGTCTTTGTGATGTTTGCATTCAACTCATAGAGTTGAAGATTCCCTTTCAGAGAGCAGCTTTGAAGCACTCTTTTTGTAGTATGTGCAAGGGGATATTTGGAGCGCTCTGAGGCCTAAGGTGAAAAAGCAAATATCTTCCCATAACCACTAGACAGAAACATTCTCAGAAACTCCTTTATGACGTATGTACTCAACTAACAGAGAAGAACCTTCCTTTTGAAAGAGCAGTTTTGATACACTCTTTTTGTACAATCTGCAAGTGGATATTTGGATAGCTGTGAAGATTTCGATGGAAACGGGAATATCTTCCTATAAAATCTAGACAGAAGCATTCTCAGAAACTGCTCTGTGATGTCTGCATTCAAGTCACAGAGTTGAACATTGCTTTTCCTAGAGCAGGTTTGAAACGCTCTTTTTGTAGTATATGGAAGTGGACGTTTCGGACGGTTTGAGGCCCATGGTGTTAAAGGGAATATCTTTCCCTACAAGCTAGAAAGAAGCATTCTGTGAAACTTGTTTGTGATGTGTGTACTCAACTAACAGAGTTGAACCTTTCCTTTTACAGAGCAGTTTTGAAACACTCTTTTTGTAGAATCTGCGAGGGGATATTTGGATAGATTTCAGGATTTCGTTGGAAACGGGAATATCTTCATATAAAATCTCGACAGAAGCATTCTCAGAAACTTCTTTGTGATATCTGCATTCAAGTCACAGAGTTGAATATTCCCTTTCACAGAGTAGGTTTGAAACACTCTTTTTGTAGTATCTGGAAGTGGATATTTGGAGCGCCTTGACACCTACGGTGAAAAGGGAAATATCTTCCCATAAAAACTAGACAGAAGCAATCTCAGAATCTTCTTTGGGATATATGCACGCAGCTAATAGAGTTGAACCTTTCTATTGACAGAGCAGTTTTGAAACAGTCTTTCTGTGGAATCTGCAAGTGGATATTTGGATAGCTTCGAGGATTTCTTTGGAAACGGGATTACGTATAAAAAGTAGACAGCAGCATCCTCAGAAACTTCTTTGTGATGTGTGCATTCAAGTCACAGAGATGAACATTCCCTTTCGTACAGCAGTTTTGAAACACTCTTTCTGTAGTATCTGGAAGTGAACATTAGGACAGCTTTCAGGTCTATGGTGAGAAAGGAAATATCTTCAAATAAAAACTAGACAGAAGCATTCTCATAAACTTGTTTGTGATGTGTGAACTCAGCTAACAGAGGTGGATCTTTCTTTTGATAGAGCAGTTCTGAAAAACACTTTTTGTTGAATCTGCAAGTGGACATTTGGATAGATTTGAAGGTTTCGTTGGAAACGGGAATATCTTCATATCAAGTCTAGACAGAAGCATTCTCAGAAACGTCTTTGTGATGTATGCATTCAACTCATAGAGTTGAACATTCCCTTTCAGAGAGCAGCTTTGAAGCACTCTTTTTGTAGTATGTGCAAGTGGACATTTGGAGCGCTTTGAGGCCTACGGGGAAAAAGCAAATATCTTCCCATAACCACTAGACAGAAACATTCTCAGAAACTCCGTTATGACGTATGCACTCACCTAACAGAGAAGAACCTACCTTTTGACTGAGCAGTTTTGATACACTCTTTTTGCAGAATCTGCAAGTGGATATTTGGATAGCTGTGAAGATTTCGTTGGAAACGGGAATATCTTCCTATAAAATCTAGACAGAAGCATTCTCAGAAACTGCTCTGTGATGTCTGCATTCAAGTCACAGAGTTGAACATTGCCTTTCATAGAGCAGGTTTGAAACGCTCTTTTTGTAGTATATGGAAGTGGACGTTTCGGACGGTTTGAGGCCCACGGTGATAAAGGGAATATCTTCCCCTACAAGCTAGAAAGAAGCATTCTGTGAAACTTGTTTGTGATGTGTGTACTCAACTAACAGAGTTGAACCTTTCTTTTCACAGAGCAGTTTTGAAACACTCTTTTTGTAGAATCTGCGAGGGGATATTTGGATAGATTTCTGGATTTCGTTGGAAACGGGAATATCTTCATATAAAATCTCGACAGAAGCATTCTGAGAAGCTTCTTTGTGATATGTGCATTCAAGTCACAGAGTTGAATATTCCCTTTCACAGAGTAGGTTTGAAACACTCTTTTTGTAGTATCTGGAAGTGGACATTTTGAGCACCTTGACGCCTACGGTGAAAAGGGAAATATCTTCTCATAAAAAGTAGACAGAAGCAATCTCAGAATCTTCTTTGGGATATATGCACGCAGCTAACAGAGTTGAACCTTTGTATTGACAGAGCAGTTTTGAAACAGTCTTTCTGTGGAATCTGGAAGTGGATATTTGGATAGCTTGGAGGATTTCGTTGGAAACGGGATTAAGTATAAAAAGTAGACAGCAGCATCCTCAGAAACTTCTTTGTGATGTGTGCATTCAAGTCACAGAGTTGAACATTCCCTTTCGTACCGCAGTTTTGAAACACTCTTTCTGTATTATCTGGAAGTGAACATTAGGACAGCTTTCAGGTCTATGGTGAGAAAGGAAATATCTTCAAATAAAAACTAGACAGAAGCATTCTCATAAACTTGTTTGTGATGTGTGAACTCAGCTAACAGAGGTGGATCTTTCTTTTGATAGAGCAGTTCTGAAAAACACTTTTTGTTGAATCTGCAAGTGGACATTTGGATAGATTTTAAGATTTCGTTGGAAACGGGAATATCTTCATATCAAATCTAGACAGAAGCATTCTCAGAAACGTCTTTGTGATGTTTGCATTCAACTCATAGAGTTGAACATTCCGTTTCAGAGGGCAGCTTTGAAGCACTCTTTTTGTAGTATGTGCAAGTGGATATTTGGAGCGCTGTGAGGTCTACGGTGAAAAAGCAAATATCTTCCCATAACCACTAGACTGAAACATTCTCAGAAACTCCTTTATGACGTATGTACTCAACTAACAGAGAAGAACCTTCTTTTTGACAGAACAGTTTTGATACACTCTTTTTGTAGAATCTCCAAGTGGATATTTGGATAGCTGTGAAGATTTCGTTGGAAACGGGAATATCTTCCTATAAAATCTAGACAGAAGCATTCTCAGAAACTGCTCTGTGATGTCTGCATTCAAGTCACAGAGTTGAACGGTTGCCTTTCATAGAGCAGGTTTGAAACGCTCTTTTTGTAGTATATGGAAGTGGACTTATCGGACGGTTTGAGGCCCATGGTGATAAAGGGAATATCTTCCCCTACAAGCTAGAAAGAAGCATTGTGTGAAACTTGTTTGTGATGTGTGTACTCAACTAACAGAGTTGAACCTTTCTTTTCACAGAGCAGTATTGAAACACTCTTTTTGTAGAATCTGCGAGGGGATATTTGGATAGATTTCAGCATTTCGTTGGAAACGGGAATATCTTCATATAAAATCTCGACAGAAGCATTCTCAGAAACTTCTTTGTGATATGTGCATTCAAGTCACAGAGTTGAATATTCCCTTTCACAGAGTAGGTTTGAAACACTCTTTTTGTAGTATCTGGAAGTGGACATTTGGAGCGCCTTGACACCTACGGTGAAAAGGGAAATATTTCCCATAAAAACTAGACAGAAGCAATCTCAGAATCTTCTTTGGGATACATGCACGCAGCTAACAGAGTTGAACCTTTCTATTGACAGAGCAGTTTTGAAACAGTCTTTCTGTGTAATCTGCAAGTGGATATTTGGATAGCTTGGAGGATTTCGTTGGAAACGGGATTACGTATAAAAAGTAGACAGCAGCATCCTCAGAAACTTCTTTGTGATGTGTGCATTCAAGTCACAGAGTTCAACATTCCCTTTCGTACAGCAGTTTTGAAACACTCTTTCTGTAGTATCTGGAAGTGAACATTAGGACAGCTTTCAGGTCTATGGTGAGAAAGGAAATATCTTCAAATAAAAACTAGACAGAAAGCATTCTGATAAACTTGTTTGTGAAGTGTGATCTCAGCTAACAGAGGTGGATCTTTCTTTTGATAGAGCAGTTCTGAAAAACACTTTTTGTTGAATCTGCAAGTGGACATTTGGATAGATTTGAAGATTTCGTTGGAAACGGGAATATCTTCATATCAAATCTAGACAGAAGCATTCTCAGAAACGTCTTTGTCATGTTTGCATTCAACTCATAGAGTTGAACATTCCCTTTCAGAGAGCAGCTTTGGAACACTCTTTTTGTAGTATGTGCAAGTGGATATTTGGAGCGCTCTGAGGCCTACGGTGAAAAAGAAAATATCTTCCCATAACCACTAGACAGAAACATTCTCAGAAACTCCTTTATGACGTATGCACTCACCTAACAGAGAAGAACCTTCCTTTTGACAGAGCAGTTTTGATACACTCTTTTTGCAGAATCTGCAACTGGATATTTGGATAGCTGTGAAGATTTCGTTGGAAACGGGAATATCTTCCTATAAAATCTAGACAGAAGCATTCTCAGAAACTGCTCTGTGATGTCTGCATTCAAGTCACAGAGTTGAACATTGCCTTTCATAGAGCAGGTTTGAAACGCTCTTTTTGTAGTATATGGAAGTGGATGTTTCGGACGGTTGGAGGCCCATGGTGATGAAGGGAATATCTTCCCCTACAAGCTAGAAAGAAGCATTCTGTGAAACTTGTTTGTGATGTGTGTACTCAACTAACAGAGTTCAACCTTTCTTTTTACAGAGCAGTTTTGAAACACTCTTTTTGTAGAATCTGCGAGGGGATATTTGGATAGATTTCAGGATTTCATTGGAAACGGGAATATCTTCATATAAAATCTCGACAGAAGCATTCTCAGAAACTTCTTTGTGATATCTGCATTCAAGTCACAGAGTTGAATATTCCCTTTCACAGAGTAGGTTTGAAACACTCTTTTTGTAGTATCTGGAAGTGGACATTTGGAGCGCCTTGACACCTATGGTGAAAAGGGAAATATCTTCCCATAAAAACTAGACAGAAGCAATCTCAGAATCTTCTTTGGGATATATGCACGCAGCTAACAGAGTTGAACCTTTCTATTGACAGAGCAGTTTTGAAACAGTCTTTCTGTGGAATCTGCAAGTGGATATTTGGATAGCTTGGAGGATTTCGTTGGAAACGGGATTACCTATAAAAAGTAGACAGCAGCATCCTCAGAAACTTCTTTGTGATGTGTTCATTCAAGTCACAGAGTTGAACATTCCTTTTCGTACAGCAGTTTTGAAACACTCTTTCTGTAGTATCTGGAAGTGAACATTAGGACAGCTTTCAGGTCTATGGTGAGAAAGGCAATATCTTCAAATAAAAACTAGACAGAAGCATTCTCATAAAACTTGTTTGTGATGTGTGAACTCAGCTAACAGACGTGGATCTTTCTTTTGATAGAGCAGTTCTGAAAAACACGTTTTGTTGAATCTGCAAGTGGACATTTGGATAGATTTGAAGATTTCGTTGGAAACGGGAATATCTTCATATCAAATCTAGACAGAAGCATTCTCAGAAACGTCTTTGTGATGTTTGCATTCAACTCATAGAGTTGAACATTCCGTTTCAGAGACCAGCTTTGAAGCACTCTTTTTGTAGTATGTGCAAGTGGATATTTGGAGCGCTCTGAGGCCTACGGTGTAAAAGCAAATATCTTCCCATAACCACTAGACAGAAACATTCTCAGAAACTCCTTTATGACGTATGCACTCACCTAACAGAGAAGAACCTTCCTTTTGACAGAGCAGTTTTGATGCACTCTTTTTGTAGAATCTGCAAGTGGATATTTGGATAGCTGTGAATATTTCGTTGGAAACGGGAATACCTTCCTATAAAATCTAGACAGAAGCATTCTCAGAAACTGCTCTGTGATGTCTGCATTGAAGTCACAGAATTGAACATTGCCTTTCCTAGAGCAGGTTTGAAACGCTCTTTTTGTAGTATATGGAAGTGGACGTTTCGGACGGTTGGAGGCCCAGGGTGATAAAGGGAATATCTTCCCCTACAAGCTAGAAAGAAGCATTCTGTGAAACTTGTTTGTGATGTGTGTACTCAACTAACGGAGTTGAACCTTTCTTTTTACAGAGCAGTTTTGAAACACTCTTTTTGTAGAATCTGCGAGGGGATATTTGGATAGATTTCAGGATTTCGTTGGAAACGGGAATATCTTCATATAAAATCTCGACAGAAGCATTCTCAGAAGCTTCTTTGTGATATGTGCATTCAAGTCACAGAGTTGAATATTCCCTTTCACAGGGTAGGTTTGAAACACTCTTTTTGTAGTATCTGGAAGTGGACATTTGGAGCGCCTTGACGCCTACGTTGAAAAGGGAAATATCTTCTCATAAAAAGTAGACAGAAGCAATCTCAGAATCTTCTTTGGGATATATGGACACAGCTAACAGAGTTGAACTTTTCTATTGACAGAGCAGTTTTGAAACAGTCTTTCTGTGGAATCTGCAAGTGGATATTTGGATAGCTTGGAGGATTTCGTTGGAAACGGGATTACGTATAAAAAGTAGACAGCAGCATCCTCAGAAGCTTCTTTGTGATGTGTGCATTCAAGTCACAGAGTTGAACATTCCCTTTCGTACAGCAGTTTTGAAACACTCTTTCTGTAGTATCTGGAAGTGAACATTAGGACAGCTTTCAGGTCTATGGTGAGAAAGGAAATATCTTCAAATAAAAACTAGACAGAAGCATTCTCATAAACTTGTTTGTGATGTCTGAACTCAGCTAACAGAGGTGGATCTTTCTTTTGATAGAGCAGTTCTGAAAAACACTTTTTGTTGAATCTGCAAGTGGACATTTGGATAGATTTGAAGATTTCGTTAGAAACGGGAATATCTTCATATCAAATCTAGACAGAAGCATTCTCAGAAACGTCTTTGTGATGTTTGCATTCAACTCATAGAGTTGAACATTCCGTTTCAGAGAGCAGCTTTGAAGCACTCTTTTTGTAGTATGTGCAAGTGGATATTTGGAGCGCTCTGAGGCCTACGGTGAAAAAGGAAATATCTTCCCATAACCATTAGACAGAAACATTCTCAGAAACTCCTTTATGACGTATGCACTCACCTAACTGAGAAGAACCTTCCTTTTGACAGAGCAGTTTTGATACACTCTTTTTGTAGAATCTGCAAGTGGATATTTGGATAGCTGTGAAGATTTCGTTGGAAACGGGAATATCTTCCTATAAAATCTAGACAGAAGCATTCTCAGAAACTGCTCTGTGATGTCTGCATTCAAGTCACAGAGTTGAACATTGCCTTTCATAGAGCAGGTTTGAAACGCTCTTTTTGTAGTATGTGGAAGTGGACGTTTCGGACGGTTTGAGGCCCATGGTGATAAAGGGAATATCTTCCCCTACAAGCTAGAAAGAAGCATTCTGTGAAACTTGTTTGTGATGTGTGTACTCCACTAACAGAGTTGAACCTTTCTTTTTACAGAGCAGTTTTGAAACACTCTTTTTGTAGAATCTGTGAGGGGATATTTGGATAGATTTCAGGATTTCGTTGGAAACGGGAATATCTTCATATAAAATCTCGACAGAAGCATTCTCAGTAAACTTCTTTGTGATATCTGCATTCAAGTCACAGAGTTGAATATTCCCTTTCACAGAGTAGGTTTGAAACACTCTTTTTGTAGTATCTGGAAGTGGACATTTTGAGCGCCTTGACACCTACGGTGAAAAGGGAAATATCTTCCCATAAAAACTAGACAGAAGCAATCTCAGAATCTTCTTTGGGATATATGCACGCAGCTAACAGAGTTGAACCTTTCTATTGACAGAGCGGTTTTGAAACAGTCTTTCTGTGGAATCTGCAAGTGGATATTTGGATAGCTTGGAGGATTTCGTTGGAAACGGGATTAAGTATAAAAAGTAGACAGCAGCATCCTCAGAAACTTCTTTGTGATGTGTGCATTCAAGTCACAGAGTTGAACATTCCCTTTCGTACAGCAGTTTTGAAACACTCTTTCTGTAGTAACTGGAAGTGAACATTAGGACAGCTTTCAGGTCTATGGTGAGAAAGGAAATATCTTCAAATAAAAACTAGACAAAAGCATTGTCATAAACATGTTTGTGATGTGTGAAATCAGCTAACAGAGGTGGATCTTTCTTTTGATAGAGCAGTTCTGAAAAACACTTTTTGTTGAATCTGGAAGTGGACATTTGGATAGATTTGAAGATTTCGTTGGAAACGGGAATATCTTCATATCAAATCTAGACAGAAGCATTCTCAGAAACGTCTTTGTGATGTTTGCATTCAACTCACAGAGTTGAACATTCCCTTTCAGAGAGCAGCTTTGAAGCACTCTTTTTGTAGTATGTGCAAGGGGATATTTGGAGCGCTCTGAGGCCTACGGTGAAAAAGCAAATATCTTCCCATAACCAGTAGACAGAAACATTCTCAGAAACTCCTTTATGACGTATGCACTCACCTAACAGAAAAGAACCTTCCTTTTGACAGAGCAGTTTTGATACACTCTTTTTGTAGAATCTGCAAGTGGATATTTGGATAGCTGTGAAGATTTCGTTGGAAACGGGAATATCTTCCTATGAAATCTAGACAGAAGCATTCTCAGAAACTGCTCTGTGATGTCTGCATTCAAGTCACAGAGTTGAACATTGCCTTTCATAGAGCAGGTTTGAAACGCTCTTTTTGTACTATATGGAAGTAGACGATTCGGACCGTTTGAGGCCCATGGTGATAAAGGGAATATCTTCCCCTACAAGCTAGAAAGAAGCATTCTGTGAAACTTGTTTGTGATGTGTGTACTCAACTAACAGAGTTGAACCTTTCTTTTTACAGAGCAGTTTTGAAACACTCTTTTTGTAGAATCTGTGAGGGGATATTTGGATAGATTTCAGGATTTCGTTGGAAACGGTAATATCTTCATATAAAATCTCGACAGAAGCATTCTCAGAAACTTCTTTGTGATATGTGCATTCAAGTCACAGAGTTGAATATTCCCTTTCACAGAGTAGGTTTGAAACACTCTTTTTGTAGTATCTGGAAGTGGACATTTGGAGCGCCTTGACGCCTACGGTGGAAAGGGAAATATCTTCCCATAAAAACTGGACAGAAGCAATCTCAGAATCTTCTTTGGGATATATGCACGCAGCTAACAGAGTTGAACCTTTCTATTGACAGACCAGTTTTGAAACAGTCTTTCTGTGGAATCTGCAAGTGGATATTTGGATAGCTTGGAGGATTTCGTTGGAAACGGGATTAAGTATAAAAAGTAGACAGCAGCATCCTCAGAAACTTCTTTGTGATGTGTGCATTCAAGTCACAGAGTTGAACAATCCCTTTCGTACAGCAGTTTTGAAACACACTTTCTGTAGCATCTGGAAGTGAACATTAGGACAGCTTTCAGGTCTATGGTGAGAAAGGAAATATCTTCAAATAAAAACTAGACAGAAGCATTCTCATAAACTTGTTTGTGATGTGTGAACTCAGCTAACAGAGGTGGATCTTTCTTTTGATAGAGCAGTTCTGAAAAACACTTTTTGTTGAATCTGCAAGTGGATATTTGGATAGATTTGAAGATTTCGTTGGAAACGGGAATATCTTCATATCAAATCTAAACAGAAGCATTCTCAGAAACGTCTTTGTGATGTTTGCATTCAACTCATAGAGTTGAACATTCCGTTTCAGAGAGCAGCTTTGAAGCACTCTTTTTGTAGTATGTGCAAGTGGATATTTGGAGCGCTGTGAGGCCTACAGTGAAAAAGCAAATATCTTCCCATAACCACTAGACAGAAACATTCTCAGAAAATCCTTTATGACGTATGTACTCAACTAACAGAGAAGAACCCTCCTTTTGACAGAGCAGTTTTGATACACTCTTTTTGTAGAATCTGCAAGTGGATATATGGATAGCTGTGAAGATTTCGTTGGAAACGGGAATATCTTCCTATAAAATCTAGACAGAAGCATTCTCAGAAACTGCTCTGTGATGTCTGCATTCAAGTCACAGAGTTGAACATTGCCTTTCCTAGAGCAGGTTTGAAACGCTCTTTTTGTAGTATATGGAAGTGGACGGTTCGGACGGTTTGAGGCCCATGGTGATAAAGGGAATATCTTCCCCTACAAGCTAGAAAGAAGCATTCTGTGAAACTTCTTTGTGATGTGTGTACTCAACTAACAGAGTTGAACCTTTCTTTTTACAGAGCAGTTTTGAAACACTCTTTTTATAGAATCTGCGAGGGGATATTTGGATAGATTTCAGGATTTCGTTGGAAACGGGAATATCTTCATATAAAATCTCGACAGAAGCATTCTCAGAAAGTTCTTTGTGATATCTCCATTCAAGTCACCGAGTTGAATATTCCCTTTCACAGAGTAGGTTTGAAACACTCTTTTTGTAGTATCTGGAAGTGGACATTTGGAGCGCCTTGACGCCTACGGTGAAAAGGGAAATATCTTCCCATAAAAACTAGACAGAGCAATCTCAGAATCTTCTTTGGGATATATGCACGCAGCTAACAGAGTTGAACCTTTCTATTGACAGAGCAGTTTTGAAACAGTCTTTCTGTGGAATCTGCAAGTGGATATTTGGATAGCTTGGAGGATTTCGTTGGAAACGGGATTACGTATAAAAAGTAGACAGCAGCATCCTCAGAAACTTCTTTGTGATGTGTGCATTCAAGTCACAGAGTTGAACATTCCCTTTCGTACAGCAGTTTTGAAACACTCTTTCTGTAGTATCTGGAAGTGAACATTAGGACAGCTTTCAGGTCTATGGTGAGAAGGGAAATATCTTCAAATAAATACTAGACAGAAGCTTTCTGATAAACTTGTTTGTGAAGTGTGAACTCAGCTAACAGAGGTGGATCTTTCTTTTGATACAGCAGTTTTGAAAAACACTTTGTTGAATCTGCAAGTGGACATTTGGATAGATTTGAAGATTTCGTTGGAAACGGGAATATCTTCATATCAAATCTAGACAGAAGCATTCTCAGAAACGTCTTTGCGATGTTTGCATTCAACTCATAGAGTTGCACATTCCGTTTCAGAGAGCAGCTTTGAGGCACTCTTTTTGTAGTATGTGCAAGTGGATATTTTGAGCCCTCTGAGGCCTACGGTGAAAAAGCAAATATCTTCCCATAACCACTAGACAGAAACATTCTCAGAAACTCCTTTATGACGTATGTACTCAACTAACAGAGAAGAACCTTCCTTTTGACAGAGCAGTTTTGATACACTCTTTTGTAGTATCTGCAAGTGGATACTTGGATAGCTGTGAAGATTTCATTGGAAACGGGAATATCTTCCTATAAAGTCTGGACAGAAGCATTCTCAGAAACTGCTCTGTGTTGTCTGCATTCAAGTCACAGAGTTGAACATTGCCTTTCATAGAGCAGGTTTGAAACACTCTTTTTGTAGTATATGGAAGTGGACGTTTCGGACGGTTTGAGGCCCATGGTGTTTTAGGGAATATCTTCCCCTACAAGCTAGAAAGAAGCATTCTGTGAAACTTGTTTGTGATGTGTGTACTCAACTAAAAGAGTTGAACCTTTCTTTTTACAGAGCAGTTTTGAAACACTCTTTTTGTAGAATCTGCGAGGGGATATTTGGATAGGTTTCAGGATTTCGTTGGAAACGGGAATATCTTCATATAAAATCTCGACAGAAGCATTCTCAGAAACTTCTTTGTGATATGTGCATTCAAGTCACAGAGTTGAATATTCCCTTTCACAGAGTAGGTTTGAAACACTCTTTTTGTAGTATCTGGAAGTGGACATTTGGAGCGCCTTGACACCTACAGTGAAAAGGGAAATATCTTCTCATAAAAAGTAGACAGAAGCAATCTCAGAATCTTCTTTGGGATATATGCACGCAGCTAACAGAGTTGAACCTTTCTATTGACAGAGCAGTTTTGAAACAGTCTTTTTGTGGAATCTGCAAGTGGATATTTGGATAGCTTGGAGGATTTCTTTGGAAACGGGATTACGTATAAAAAGTAGACAGCAGCATCCTCAGAAACTTCTTTGTGATGTATGCATTCAAGTCCCAGAGTTGAACATTCCCTTTCGTACAGCAGTTTTGAAACACTCTTTCTGTAGTATCTGGAAGTGAACATTAGGACAGCTTTCAGGTCTATGGTGAGAAAGGAAATATCTTCAAATAAAAACTAGACAGAAAGCATTCTCATAAACTTGTTTGTGATGTGTGAACTCAGCTAACAGACGTGGATCTTTCTTTAGATAGAGCAGTTTTGAAAAACACTTTTTGTTGAATCTGCAAGTGGACATTTGGATAGATTTGAAGATTTCGTTGGAAACGGGAATATCTTCATATCAAATCTAGACAGAAGCATTCTCAGAAACGTCTTTGTGATGTTTGCATTCAACTCATAGAGTTGAACATTCCCTTTCAGAGAGCAGCTTTGAAGCACTCTTTTTGTAGCATGTGCAAGTGGACATTTGGAGCGCCCTGAGGCCTACGGGAAAAAGCAAATATCTTCCCATAACCACTAGACAGAAACATTCTCAGAAACTCCTTTATGACGTATGCACTCACCTAACAGAGAAGAACCTTCCTTTTGACAGAGCAGTTTTGATACACTCTTTTTGTAGTATCTGCAAGTGGATATTTGGATAGCTGTGAAGATTTCGTTGGAAACGGGAATATCTTCCTATAAAATCTAGACAGAAGCATTCTCAGAAACTGCTCTGTGATGTCTGCATTCAAGTCACAGAGTTGAACATTGCCTTTCATAGAGTAGGTTTGAAACGCTCTTTTTGTAGTATATGGAAGTGGACGTTTCGGACGGTTTGAGGCCCATGGTGTTAAAGGGAATATCTTCCCCTACAAGCTAGAAAGAAGCATTCTGTGAAACTGGTTTGTAATGTGTGTACTCAACTAACAGAGTTGAACCTTTCTTTTTACAGAGCAGTTTTGAAACACTCTTTTTGTAGAATCTGCGAGGGGATATTTGGATAGATTTCAGGGTTTCGTTGGAAACGGGAATATCTTCATATAAAATCTCGACAGAAGCATTCTCAGAAACTTCTTTGTGATATGTGCATTCAAGTCACAGAGTTGAATATTCCCTTTCACAGAGTAGGTTTGAAACACTCTTTTTGTAGTATCTGGAAGTGGACATTTGGAGCGCCTTGACACCTACGGTGAAAAGGGAAAATATCTTCTCATAAAAAGTAGACAGAAGCAATCTCAGAATCTTCTTTGGGATATATGCACACAGCTAACAGAGTTGAACCTTTCTATTGACAGAGCAGTTTTGAAACAGTCTTTCTGTAGAATCTGCAAGTGGATATTTGGATAGCTTGGAGGATTTCGTTGGAAACGGGATTACGTATAAAAAGTAGACAGCAGCATCCTCAGAAACTTCTTTGTGATGTGTGCATTCAAGTCACAGAGTTGAACATTCCCTTTCGTACAGCAGTTTTGAAACACTCTTTCTGTAGTAACTGGAAGTGAACATTAGGACAGCTTTCAGGTCTATGGTGAGAAAGGAAATATCTTCAATTAAAAACTAGACGGAAGCATTCTCGTAAACTTGTTTGTGATGTGTGGACTCAGCTAACAGAGGCGGATCTTTCTTTTGATAGAGCAGTTCGGGAAAACACTTTTTGTTGAATCTGCAAGTGGACATTTGGATAGATTTGAAGATTTCGTTGGAAACGGGAATATCTTCATATCAAATCTAGACAGAAGCATTCTCAGAAACGTCTTTGTGATGTTTGCATTCAACTCATAGAGTTGAACATTCCGTTTCAGAGGGCAGCTTTGAAGCACTCTTTTTGTAGTATGTGCAAGTGGATATTTGGAGCGCTGTGAGCTCTGCGGTGAAAAAGCAAATATCTTCCCATAACCACTAGACTGAAACATTCTCAGAAACTCCTTTATGACGTATGCACTCACCTAACAGAGAAGAAGCTTCCTTTTGACAGAGCAGTTTTGATACACTCTTTTTGTAGAATCTGCAACTGGATATTTGGATAGCTGTGAAGATTTCGTTGGAAACGGGAATATCTTCCTATAAAATCTAGACAGAAGCATTCTCAGAAACTGCTCTGTGATGTCTGCATTCAAGTCACAGAGTTGAACATTGCCTTTCATAGAGCAGGTTTGAAACGCTCTTTTTGTAGTATATGGAAGTGGACGTTTCGGACGGTTTGAGGCCCATGTTGATAAAGGGAATATCTTCCCCTACAAGCTAGAAAGAAGCATTCTGTGAAACTTGTTTGTGATGTGTGTACTCAACTAACAGAGTTGAACCTTTCTTTTTACAGAGCAGTTTTGAAACACTCTTTTTGTATAATCTGCGAGGGGATATTTGGATACATTTCAGGATTTCGTTGGAAACGGGAATATCTTCATATAAAATCTCGACAGAAGCATTCTCAGAAACTTCCTTGTGTTATGTGCATTCAAGTCACAGAGTTGAATATTCCCTTTCACAGAGTAGGTTTGAAACACTCTTTTTGTAGTATCTGGAAGTGGACATTTGGAGCGCCTTGACGCCTACGGTGAAAAGGGAAATATCTTCCCATAAAAACTAGACAGAAGCAATCTCAGAATTTTCTTTGGGATATATGCACACAGCTAACTGAGTTGAACTTTTCTATTGACATAGCAGTTTTGAAACAGTCTTTCTGTGGAATCTGCAAGTGGATATTTGGATAGCTTGGAGGATTTCGTTGGAAATGGGATTACGTATAAAAAGTAGACAGCAGCATCCTCAGAAATTTCTTTGTGATGTGTGCATTCAAGTCACAGAGTTGAACATTCCCTTTCGTACAGCAGTTTTGAAACACTCTTTCTGTAGTATCTGGAAGTGAACATTAGGACAGCTTTCAGGTCTATGGTGAGAAAGGAAATATCTTTAAATAAAAACTAGACAGAAGCATTCTCATAAACTTGTTTGTGATGTGTGAACTCAGCTAACAGAGGTGGATCTTTCTTTTGATAGAGCAGTTCTGAAAAACACGTTTTGTTGAATCTGCAAGTGGACATTTGGATAGATTTGAAGATTTCGTTGGAAACGGGAATATCTTCATATCAAATCTAGAAAGAAGCATTCTCAGAAACGTCTTTGTGATGTTTGCATTCAACTCATAGAGTTGAACATTCCCTTTCAAAGAACAGCTTTGAAGCACTCTTTTTGTAGTATGTGCAAGTGGATATTTGGAGCGCTCTGAGGCCTACGGTGAAAAAGCAAATATCTTCCCATAACCACTAGACAGAACATTCTCAGAAACTCCTTTATGACGTATGCACTCACCTAACAGAAAAGAACCTTCCTTTTGACAGAGCAGTTTTGATACACTCTTTTTGTAGAATCTGCAAGTGGATATTTGGATAGCTGTGAAGATTTCGTTGGAAACGGGAATATCTTCCTATAAAATCTAGACAGATAAGCATTCTCAGAAACTGCTCTGTGATGTCTGCATTCAAGTCACAGAGTTGAACATTGCCTTTCATAGAGCAGGTTTGAAACGCTCTTTTTGTAGTATATGGAAGTGGATGTTTCGGACGGTTGGAGGCCCATGGTGATAAAGGGAATATCTTCCCCTACAAGCTAGAAAGAAGCATTCTGTGAAACTTGTTTGTGATGTGTGTACTCAACTAACAGAGTTGAACCTTTCATTTTACAGAGCAGTTTAGAAACACTCTTTTTGTAGAATCTGCGAGGGGATATTTGGATAGATTTCAGGATTTCGTTGGAAACGGGAATATCTTCATTTAAAATCTCGACAGAAGCATTCTCAGAAACTTCCTTGTGATATGTGCATTGAAGTCACAGAGTTGAATATTCCCTTTCACAGAGTAGGTTTGAAACACTCTTTTTGTAGTATCTGGAAGTGGACATTTGGAGCGCCTTGACACCTACTGTGAAAAGGGAAATATCTACCCATAAAAACTAGACAGAAGCAATCTCAGAATCTTCTTTGGGATATATGCACGCAGCTAACAGAGTTGAACCTTTCTATTGACAGAGCGGTTTTGAAACAGTCTTTCTGTGGAATCTGCAAGTGGATATTTGGATAGCTTGGAGGATTTCGTTGGAAACGGGATTAAGTATGAAAAGTAGACAGCAGCATCCTCAGAAACTTCTTTGTGATGTGTGCATTCAAGTCACAGAGTTGAACATTCCCTTTCATACAGCAGTTTTGAAACACTCTTTCTGTAGTATCTGGAAGTGAACATTAGGACAGCTTTCAGGTCTATGGTGAGAAAGGAAATATCTTCAAATAAAAACTAGACAGAAGCATTCTCATAAACTTGTTTGTGATGTGTGAACTCAGCTAACAGAGGTGGATCTTTCTTTTGATAGAGCAGTTGTGAAAAACACTTTTTGTTGATTATGCAAGTGGATATTTGGATAGATTTGAAGATTTCGTTGGAAACGGGAATATCTTCATATCAAATCTAGACAGAAGCATTCTCAGAAACGTCTTTGTGATGTTTGCATTCAACTCATAGAGTTGAACATTCTGTTTCAGAGAGCAGGTTTGAAGCACTCTTTTTGTAGTATGTGCAAGTGGATATTTGGAGCGCTCTGAGGCCTACGGTGAAAAAGCAAATATCTTCCCATAACCACTAGACAGAAACATTCTCAGAAACTCCTTTATGACGTATGCACTCACCTAACAGAAAAGAACCTTCCTTTTGACAGAGCAGTTCTGATACACTCTTTTTGTAGAATCTGCAAGTGGATATTTGGATAGCTGTGAAGATTTCGTTGGAAACGGGAATATCTTCCTATAAAATCTAGACAGAAGCATTCTCAGAAACTGCTCTGTGATGTCTGCATTCAAGTCACAGAGTTGAACATTGCCTTTCATAGAGCAGGTTTGAAACGCTCTTTTTGTAGTATATGGAAGTGGATGTTTCGGACGGTTGGAGGCCCATGGTGATAAAGGGAATATCTTCCCCTGCAAGCTAGAAAGAGAGCATTCTGTGAACTTGTTTGTGATGTGTGTACTCAACTAACAGAGTTGAACCTTTCTTTTTACAGAGCAGTTTTGAAACACTCTTTTTGTAGAATCTGCGAGGGGATATTTGGATAGATTTCAGGATTTCGTTGGAAACGGGAATATCTTCATATAAAATCTCGACAGAGCATTCTCAGAAACTTCTTTGTGATATGTGCATTCAAGTCACAGAGTTGAATATTCCCTTTTACAGAGTAGGTTTGAAACACTCTTTTTGTAGTATCTGGAAGTGGACATTTGGAGCGCCTTGACGCCTACGGTGAAAAGGGAAATATCTTCTCATAAAAACTAGACAGAAGAAATCTCAGAATCATCTTTGGGATATATGCACGCAGCTAACAGAGTTGAACCTTTCTATTGACAGAGCAGTTTTGAAACAGTCTTTCTGTGGAATCTGCAAGTGGATATTTGGATAGCTTGGAGGATTTCGTTGGAAACGGGATTAGGTATAAAAAGTAGACAGCAGCATCCTCAGAAACTTCTTTGTGATGTGTGCATTCAAGTCACAGAGTTGAACATTCCCTTTCGTACAGCAGTTTTGAAACACTCTTTCTGGAGTATCTGGAAGTGAACATTAGGACAGCTTTCAGCTCTATGGTGAGAAAGGTAATATCTTCAAATAAAAACTAGACAGAAGCATTCTCATAAACTTGTTTGTGATGTGTGAACTCAGCTAACAGACGTGGATCTTTCTTTTGATACAGCAGTTTTGAAAAACACTTTTTGTTGAATCTGAAAGTGGACATTTGGATAGATTTGAAGATTTCCTTGGAAACGGGAATATCTTCATATCAAATCTAGACAGAAGCATTCTCAGTAAACGTCTTTGTGATGTTTGCATTCAACTCATAGAGTTGAACATTCCGTTTCAGAGACCAGCTTTGAAGCACTCTTTTTGTAGTATGTGCAAGTGGATATTTGGAGCGCTCTGAGGCCTACGGTGAAAAAGCAAATATCTTCCCATAACGACTAGACAGAAAACATTCTCAGAAACTCCTTTATGACGTATGCACTCACCTAACAGAGAAGAACCTTCCTTTTGACAGAGCAGTTTTGATACACTCTTTTTGTAGAATCTGCAAGTGGATATTTTGATACCTGTGAATATTTCGTTGGAAACGGGAATATCTTCCTATAAAATCTAGACAGAAGCATTCTCAGAAACTGCTCTGTGATGTCTGCATTCAAGTCACAGAGTTGAACATTGCCTTTCATAGAGCAGGTTTGAAAGGCTCTTTTTGTAGTATATGGAAGTGGACGTTTCGGACGGTTGGAGGCCCATGGTGATAAAGGGAATATCTTCCCCTACAAGCTAGAAAGAAGCATTCTGTGAAACTTGTTTGTTATGTGTGTACTCAACTAACAGAGTTGAACCTTTCTTTTTACAGAGCAGTTTTGAAACACTCTTTTTGTAGAATCTGCGAGGGGATATTTGGATAGATTTCAGGATTTTGTTGGAAACCGGAATATCTTTATATAAAATCTCGACAGAAGCATTCTCGGAAGCTTCTTTGTGATATGTGCATTCAAGTCACAGAGTTGAATATTCCCTTTCACAGAGTAGGTTTGAAACACTCTTTTTCTAGTATCTGGAAGTGGACATTTGGAGCGCCTTGATGCCTACGGTGAAAAGGGAAATATCTTCTCATAAAAAGTAGACAGAAGCAATCTCAGAATCTTCTTTGGGATATATGCACGCAGCTAACAGAGTTGAACCTTTCTATTGACAGAGCAGTTTTGAAACAGTCTTTCTGTGGAATCTGCAAGTGGATATTTGGATAGCTTGGAGGATTTCGTTGGAAACGGTATTACGTATAAAAAGTAGACAGCAGCATCCTCAGAAACTTCTTTGTGATGTGTGCATTCAAGTCACAGAGTTGAACATTCCCTTTCGTACAGCAGTTTTGAAACACTCTTTCTGTAGTATCTGGAAGTGAACATTAGGACAGCTTTCAGGTCTATGGTGAGAAAGAAAATATCTTCAAATAAAAACTAGACAAAAGCATTCTCATAAACTTGTTTGTGAAGTGTGAACTCAGCTAACAGAGGTGAATCTTTCTTTTGATAGAGCAGTTCTGAAAAACACTTTTTGTTGAATCTGCAAGTGGACATTTGGATAGATTTGAAGATTTCGTTGGAAACGGGAATATCTTCATATCAAATCTAGACAGAAGCATTCTCAGAAACGTCTTTGTGATGTTTGCATTCAACTCATAGAGTTGAACATTCCCTTTCAGAGAGCAGCTTTGAAGCACTCTTTTTGCAGTATGTGCAAGTGGATATTTGGAGCGCTCTGAGGCCTACGGGGAAAAAGCAAATATCTTCCCATAACCACTAGACAGAAACATTCTCAGGAACTCCTTTATGATGTATGCACTCACCTAACAGAGAAGAACCTTCCTTTTGACAGAGCAGTTTTGATACACTCTTTTTGTAGAATCTGCAAGTTTATATTTGGATAGCTGTGAAGATTTCGTTGGAAACGGGAATATCTTCCTATAAAATCTAGACAGAAGCATTCTCAGAAACTGCTCTGTGATGTCTGCATTCAAGTCACAGAGTTGAACATTGCCTTTCATAGAGCAGGTTTGAAATGCTCTTTTTGTAGTATATGGAAGTGGAAGTTTCAGACGGTTTGAGGCCCATGGTGATAAAGGGAATATCTTCCCCTACAAGCTAGAAAGAAACATTCTGTGAAACTTGTTTGTGATGTGTGTACTCAGCTAACAGAGTTGAACCTTTCTTTTTACAGAGCAGTTTTGAAACACTCTTTTTGTAGAATCTGCGAGGGGATATTTGGATAGATTTCAGGATTTCGTTGGAAAAGGGAATATCTTCATATAAAATCTCGACAGAAGCATTCTCAGAAACTTCTTTGTGATATCTGCATTCAAGTCACAGAGTTGAATATTCCCTTTCACAGAGTAGGTTTGAAACACTCTTTTTGTAGTATCTGGAAGTGGACATTTGGAGCGCCTTGACGCCTACGGTGAAAAGGGAAATATCTTCTCATAAAAAGTAGACAGAAAGCAATCTCAGAATCTTCTTTGGGATATATGCACGCAGCTAACAGAGTTGAACCTTTCTATTGACAGAGCAGTTTTGAAACAGTCTTTCTGTGGAATCTGCAAGTGGATATTGGGATAGCTTGGAGGATTTCGTTGGAAACGGGATTACGCATAAAAAGTAGACAGCAGCATCCTCAGAAACTTCTTTGTGATGTGTGCATTCAAGTCACAGAGTTGAACATTCCCTTTCGTACAGCAGTATTGAAACACTCTTTCTGTAGCATCTGGAAGTGAACATTAGGACAGCTTTCAGGTCTATGGTGAGAAAGGAAATATCTTCAAATAAAAACTAGACAGAAGCATTCTCATAAACTTGTTTGTGATGTGTGAACTCAGCTAACAGAGGTGGATTTTTCTTTTGATAGAGCAGTTCTGAAAAACACTTTTTGTTGAATCTGCAAGTGGACATTTGGATAGATTTGAAGATTTCGTTGGAAACGGGAATATCTTCATATCAAATCTAGACAGAAGCATTCTCAGAAACGTCTTTGTGATGTTTGCATTCAACTCACAGAGTTGAACATTCCCTTTCAGAGAGCAGCTTTGAAGCACTCTTTTTGTAGTATGTGCAAGGGGATATTTGGAGTGCTCTGAGGCCTACGGTGAAAAAGCAAATATCTTCCCATAACCACTAGACAGAAACATTCTCAGAAACTCCTTTATGACGTATGCACTCACCTAACAGAAAAGAACCTTCCTTTTGACAGAGCAGTTTTGATACACTCTTTTTGTAGAATCTGCAAGTGGATATTTGGATAGCTGTGAAGATTTCGTTGGAAACGGGAATATCTTCCTATAAAATCTACACAGAAGCATTCTCAGAAACTGCTCTGTGATGTCTGCATTCAAGTCACAGAGTTGAACATTGCCTTTCATAGAGCAGGTTTGAAACGCTCTTTTTGTAGTATATGGAAGTGGACGTTTCAGACGGTTTGAGGCCCATGGTGTTAAAGGGAATATCTTCCCCTACAAGCTAGAAAGAAGCATTCTGTGAAACTTGTTTGTGATGTGTGTACTCAACTAACAGAGTTGAACCTTTCTTTTTACAGAGCAGTTTTGAAACACTCTTTTTGTAGAATCTGCGAGGGAATATTTGGATAGATTTTAGGATTTCGTTGGAAACGGGAATATCTTCATATAAAATCTCGACAGAAGCATTCTCAGAAGCTTCTTTGTGATATGTGCACTCAAGTCACAGAGTTGAACATTCCCTTTCACAGAGTAGGTTTGAAACACTCTTTTTGTAGTATCTGGAAGTGGACATTTGGAGCGCCTTGACGCCTACGGTGAAAAGGGAAATATCTTCCCATAAAAACTAGACAGAAAGCAATCTCAGAATCTTCTTTGGGATATATGCACGCAGCTAACAGAGTTGAACCTTTCTATTGACAGAGCAGTTTTGAAACAGTCTTTCTGTGGAATCTGCAAGTGGATATTTGGATAGCTTGGAGGATTTCGTTGGAAACGGGATTACGTATAAAAAGTAGACAGCAGCATCCTCAGAAACTTCTTTGTGATGTGTGCATTCAAGTCACAGAGTTGAACATTCTCTTTCGTACAGCAGTTTTGAAACACTCTTTCTGTAGTATCTGGAAGTGAACATTAGGACAGCTTTCAGGTCTATGGTGAGAAAGGAAATATCTTCAAATAAAAACTAGACAGAAGCATTCTCATAAACTTGTTTGTGATGTGTGAACTCAGCTAACAGAGGTGGATCTTTCTTTTGATAGAGCAGTTCTGAAAAACACGTTTTGTTGAATCTGCAAGTGGACATTTGGATAGATTTGAAGATTTCGTTGGAAAAGGGAATATCTTCATATCAAATCTAGACAGAAGCATTCTCAGAAACGTCTTTGTGATGTTTGCATTCAACTCATAGAGTTGAACATTCCGTTTCAGAGACCAGCTTTGAGGCACTCTTTTTGTAGTATGTGCAAGTGGATATTTGGAGCGCTCTGAGGCCTACGGTGAAAAAGCAAATATCTTCCCATAACGACTAGACAGAAACATTCTCAGAAACTCCTTTATGACGTATGCACTCACCTAACAGAGAATAACCTTCCTTTTGACAGAGCAGTTTTGATACACTCTTTTTGTAGGATCTGCAAGTGGATATTTGGATAGCTGTGAAGATTTCGTTGGAAACGGGAATATCTTCCTATAAAATCTAGACAGAAGCATTCTCAGAAACTGCTCTGTGATGTCTGCATTCAAGTCACAGAGTTGAACATTGCCTTTCCTAGAGCAGGTTTGAAACGCTCTTTTTGTAGTATATGGAAGTGGATGTTTCGGACGGTTGGAGGCCCATGGTGATAAAGGGAATATCTTCCCCTACAAGCTAGAAAGAAGCATTCTGTGAAACTTGTTTGTGATGTGTGTACTAAACTAACAGAGTTGAACCTTTCTTTTTACAGAGCAGTTTTGAAACACTCTTTTTGTAGAATCTGCGAGGGGATATTTGGATAGATTTCAGGATTTCGTTGGAAACGGGAATATCTTCATATAAAATCTCGACAGAAGCATTCTCAGAAACTTCTTTGTGATATGTGCATTCAAGTCACAGAGTTGAATATTCCCTTTCACAGAGTAGGTTTGAAACACTCTTTTTGTAGTATCTGGAAGTGGACATTTGGAGCGCCTTGAGGCCTACGGTGAAAAGGGAAATATCTTCTCATAAAAAGTAGACAGAAAGCAATCTCAGAATCTTCTTTGGGATATATGCACGCAACTAACAGAGTTGAACCTTTCTATTGACAGAGCAGTTTTGAAACAGTCTTTCTGTGGAATCTGCAAGTGGATATTTGGATAGCTTGGAGGATTTCTTTGGAAATGGGATTACGTATAAAAAGTAGACAGCAGCATCCTCAGAAACTTCTTTGTGATGTGTGCATTCAAGTCACAGAGTTGAACATTCCCTTTCGTACAGCAGTTTTGAAACACTCTTTCTGTAGTATCTGGAAGTGAACATTAGGACAGCTTTCAGGTCGATGGTGAGAAAGGGAATATCTTCAAATAAAAACTAGACAGAAGCATTCTCATAAACTTGTTTGTGATGTGTGAACTCAGCTAACAGACGTGGATCTTTCTTTTGATACAGCAGTTTTGAAAAACACTTTTTGTTGAATCTGCAAGTGGACATTTGGATAGATATGAAGATTTCGTTGGAAACGGTAATATCTTCATATCAAATCTAGACAGAAGCATTCTTGGAAACGTCTTTGTGATGTTTGCATTCAACTCATAGAGTTGAACATTCCGTTTCAGAGAGCAGCTTTGAAGCATTCTTTTTGTAGTATGTGCATGGGGATATATGGAGCGCTCTGAGGCCTAAGGTGAAAAAGCAAATATCTTCCCATAACCACTACACAGAAACATTCTCAGAAACTCCTTTATGACGTATGCACTCACCTAACAGAGAAGAACCTTCCTTTTGACAGAGCAGTTTTGATAAACTCATTTTGTAGAATCTGCAAGTGGATATTTGGATAGCTGTGAAGATTTCGTTGGAAACGGGAGTATCTTCCTATAAAATCTAGACAGAAGCATTCTCAGAAACTGCTCTGTGATGTCTGCATTCAAGTCACAGAGTTGAACATTGCCTTTCATAGAGCAGGTTTGAAACGCTCTTTTTGTAGTACATGGAAGTGGACGTTTCGGACGGTTTGAGGCCCATGGTGATAAAGGGAATATCTTCCCCTACTAGCTAGAAAGAAGCATTCTGTGAAACTTGTTTGTGATGTGTGTACTCAACTAACAGAGTTGAACCTTTCTTTTTACAGAGCAGTTTTGAAACACTCTTTTTGTAGAATCTGCGAGGGGATATTTGGATAGATTTCAGGATTTCGTTGGAAAGGGGAATATCTTCATATAAAATCTGGACAGAAGCATTCTCAGAAACTTCTTTGTGGTATGTGCATTCAAGTCACAGAGTTGAATATTCCCTTTCACAGAGTAGGTTTGAAACACTCTTTTTGTAGTATCTGGAAGTGGACATTTTTAGCGCCTTGACGCCTACAGTGAAAAGGGAAATATCTTCCCATAAAAACTAGACAGAAGCAATCTCAGAATCTTCTTTGGGATATATGCACGCAGCTAACAGAGTTGAACCTTTTTATTGACAGAGCAATTTTGAAACAGTCTTGCTGTGGAATCTGCAAGTGGATATTTGGATAGATTAGAGGATTTCGTTGGAAACGGGATTACGTATAAAAAGTAGACAGCAGCATCCTCAGAAACTTTTTTGTGATGTGTGCATTCAAGTCACAGAGTTGAACATTCCCTTTCGTACAGCAGTTTTGAAACACCCTTTCTGTAGTATCTGGAAGTGAACATTAGGACAGCTTTCAGGTCTATGGTGAGAAAGGAAATATCTTCAAATAAAAACTAGACAGAAGCATTCTCATAAACTTGTTTGTGATGTGTGAACTCAGCTAACAGAGATGGATCTTTCTTTTGATAGAGCAGTTCTGAAAAACACTTTTTGTTGAATCTGCAAGTGGACATTTGGATAGATTTGAAGATTTCGTTGGAAACGGGAATATCTTCATATCAAATCTAGACAGAAGCATTCTCAGAGACGTCTTTGTGATGTTTGCATTCAACTCATAGAGTTGAACATTCCGTTTCAGAGAGCAGCTTTGAGGCACTCATTTTTGTAGTATGTGCAAGTGGATATTTGGAGCGCTCTGAGGCCTACGGTGAAAAAGCAAATATCTTCCCATAACCACTAGACAGAAACATTCTCAGAAACTCCTTTATGACGTGTGTACTCATCTAACAGAGAAGAACCTTCCTTTTGACAGAGCAGTTTTGATACACTCTTTTTGTAGAATCTGCAAGTGGATATTGGGATAGCTGTGAAGATTTCGTTGGAAACGGGAATATCTTCCTATAAAATCTAGACAGAAGCACTTCTCAGAAACTGCTCTGTGATGTCTGCATTCAAGTCACAGAGTTGAACATTGCCTTTCATAGAGCAGGTTTGAAACGCTCTTTTTGTAGTATATGGAAGTGGACGTTTCGGACGGTCTGAGGCCCATGGTGATAAAGGGAATATCTTCCCCTATAAGCTAGAAAGAAGCATTCTGTGAAACTTGTTTGTGATGTGTGTACTCAAGTAACAGAGTTGAACCTTTCTTTTTACAGAGCAGTTTTGAAACACTCTTTCTGTAGAATCTGCGACGGGATATTTGGATAGATTTCAGGATTTCGTTGGAAACGGGAATATCTTCATATAAAATCTCGACAGAAGCATTCTCAGAAACTTCTTTGTGATATCTGCCTTCAAGTCACAGAGTTGAATATTCCCTTTCACAGAGTAGGTTTGAAACACTCTTTTTGTAGTATCTGGAAGTGGACATTTGGAGTGCCTTGACGCCTACGGTGACAAGGGAAATATCTTCCCATAAAAACTAGACAGAAGCAATCTCAGAATCTTCTTTGGGATATATGCACGCAGCTAACAGAGTTCAACCTTTCTATTGACAGAGCAGTTTTGAAACAGTCTTTCTGTGGAATCTGCAAGTGGATATTTGGATAGCTTGGAGGATTTCGTTGGAAACGGGATTACGTATAAAAAGTAGACAGCAGCATCCTCAGAAACTTCTTTGTGATGTGTGCATTCAAGTCACAGAGTTGAACATTCCCTTTCGTACAGCAGTTTTGAAACACTCTTTCTGTAGTATCTGGAAGTGAACATTAGGAGAGCTTTCAGGTCTATGGTGAGAAAGGAAATATCTTCAAATAAAAACTAGACAGAAGCATTCTGATAAACTTGTTTGTGAAGTGTGAACTCAGCTAACAGAGGTGGATCTTTCTTTTGATTGAGCAGTTCTGAAAAACACTTTTTGTTGAATCTGCAAGTGGACATTTGGATAGATTTGAAGATTTCGTTGGAAACGGGAATATCTTCATATCAAATCTAGACAGAAGCATTCTCAGAAACGTCTTTGCGATGTTTGCATTCAACTCATAGAGTTGAACATTCCGTTTCAGAGAGCAGCTTTGAGACACTCTTTTTGTAGTATGTGCAAGTGGATATTTGGAGTGCTCTGAGGCCTACGGTGAAAAAGCAAATATCTTCCCATAACCACTAGACAGAAACATTCTCAGAAACTCCTTTATGACGTATGTACTCAACTAACAGAGAAGAACCTTCCTTTTGACAGAGGAGTTTTGATACACTCTTTTTGTAGAATCTGCAAGTGGATATTTGGATAGCTGTGAAGATTTCGTTGGAAACGGGAATATCTTCCTATAAAATCTAGACAGAAGCATTCTCAGAAACTGCTCTGTGATGTCTGCATTCAAGTCACAGAGTTGAACATTGCCTTTCCTAGAGCAGGTTTGAAACGCTCTTTTTGTAGTATATGGAAGTGGACGTTTTGGACGGTTTGAGGCCCATGGTGATAAAGGGAATATCTTCCCCTACAAGCTAGAAAGAAGCATTCTGTGAAACTTGTTTGTGATGTGTGTACTCAACTAACAGAGTTGAACCTTTCTTTTTACAGAGCAGTTTTGAAACACTCTTTTTGTAGAATCTGCGAGGGGATATTTGGAGAGATTTCAGGATTTCGTTGGAAACGGGAATATCTTCATATAAAATCTCGACAGAAGCATTCTCAGTAAACTTCTTTGTGATATGTGCATTCAAGTCACAGAGTTGAATATTCCCTTTCACAGAGTAGGTTTGAAACACTCTTTTTGTAGTATCTGGAAGTGGACATTTGGAGCGCCTTGACGCCTACGGTGAAAAGGGAAATATCTTCCCATAAAAACTAGACAGAAGCAATCTCAGAATCTTCTTTGGGATATATGCACGCAGCTAACAGAGTTGAACCTTTCTATTGACAGCAGTTTTGAAACAGTCTTTCTGTGGAATCTGCCAGTGGATATTTGGATAGCTTGGAGGATTTCGTTGGAAACAGGATTACGTATAAAAAGTAGACAGCAGCATCCTCAGAAACTTCTTTGTGATGTGTGCATTCAAGTCACAGCAGTTGAACATTCCCTTTCGTACAGCAGTTTTGAAACACTCTTTCTGTAGTATCTGGAAGTGAACATTAGGACAGCTTTCAGGTCTATGGTGAGAAAGGAAATATCTTCAAATAAAAACTAGACAGAAGCATTCTAATAAACTTGTTTGTGAAGTGTGAACTCAGCTAACAGTGGTGGATCTTTCTTTTGATACAGCAGTTTTGAAAAACACTTTGTTGAATCTGCAAGTGGACATTTGGATAGATTTGAAGATTTCGTTGGAAACGGGAATATCTTCATATCAAATCTAGACAGAAGCATTCTCAGAAACGTCTTTGTGATGTTTGCATTCAACTCATAGAGTTGAACATTCCCTTTCAGAGAGCAGCTTTGAAGCACTCTTTTTGTAGCATGTGCAAGTGGACATTTGGAGCGCCCTGAGGCCTATGGGGAAAAAGCAAATATCTTCCCATAACCACTAGACAGAAACATTCTCAGAAACTCCTTTATGACGTATGCACTCACCTAACAGAGAAGAACCTTCCTTTTGACAGAGCAGTTTTGATACACTCTTTTTGTAGAATCTGCAAGTGGATATTGGGATAGCTGTGAAGATTTCGTTGGAAACGGGAATATCTTCCTATGAAATCTAGACAGAAGCATTCTCAGAAACTGCTCTGTGATGTCTGCTTTCAAGTCACAGAGTTGAACATTGCCTTTCCTAGAGCAGGTTTGAAACGCTCTTTTTGTAGTATATGGAAGTGGATGTTTCGGACGGTTTTAGGCCCATGGTGATAAAGGGAATATCTTCCCCTACAAGCTAGAAAGAAGCATTCTGTGAAACTTGTTTGTGATGTGTGTACTGAACTAACAGAGTTGAACCTTTCTTTTTACAGAGCAGTTTTGAAACACTCTTTTTGTAGAATCTGTGAGGGGATATTTGGATAGATTTCAGGATTTCGTTGGAAACGGGAATATCTTCATATGAAATCTCGACAGAAGCATTCTCAGAAACTTCCTTGTGATATGTGCATTCAAGTCACAGAGTTGAATATTCCCTTTCACAGAGTAGGTTTGAAACACTCTTTTTGTAGAATCTGGAAGTGGACATTTGGAGCGCCTTGACACCTACGGTGAAAAGGGAAATATCTTCCCATAAAAACTAGACAGAAGCAATCTCAGAATCTTCTTTGGGATATATGGACGCAGCTAACAGAGTTGAACCTTTCTATTGACAGAGCAGTTTTGAAACAGTCTTTCTGTGGAATCTGCAAGTGGATATTTGGATAGCTTGGAGGATTTCGTTGGAAACGGGATTACGTATAAAATGTAGACAGCAGCATCCTCAGAACCTTCTTTGTGATGTGTGCATTCAAGTCACAGAGTTCAACATTCCCTTTCGTACAGCAGTTTTGAAACACTCTTTCTGTAGTAACTGGAAGTGAACATTAGGACAGCTTTCAGGTCTATGGTGAGAAAGGAAATATCTTCAAATAAAAACTAGACAGAAGCATTCTGATAAACTTGTTTGTGAAGTGTGAACTCAGCTAACAGTGGTGGATCTTTCTTTTCATACAGCAGTTTTGAAAAACACTTTGTTGAATCTGCAAGTGGACATTTGGATAGATTTGAAGATTTCGTTGGAAACGGGAATATCTTCATATCAAATCTAGACAGAAGCATTCTCAGAAACGTCTTTGTGATGTTTGCATTCAACTCATAGATTTGAACATTCCGTTTCAGAGAGCAGCTTTGAAGCACTCTTTTTGTAGTATGTGCAAGTGGATATTTGGAGAGCTCTGACGCCTACGGTGAAAAAGCAAATATCTTCCCATAACCACTAGACAGAAACATTCTCAGAAACTCCTTTATGACGTATGTACTCAACTAACAGAGAAGAACCTTCCTTTTGACAGAGCAGTTTTGATACACTCTTTTTGTAGAATCTGCAAGTGCATATTTGGATAGCTGTGAAGATTTCGTTGGAAACGGGAATATCTTCCTATAAAATCTAGACAGAAGCATTCTCAGAAACTGCTCTGTGATGTCTGCATTCAAGTCACAGAGTTGAACATTGCCTTTCATAGAGCAGGTTTGAAATGCTGTTTTTGTAGTATATGGAAGTGGACGTTTCGGACGGTTTGAGGCCCATGGTGATAAAGGGAATATCTTCCCCTACAAGCTAGAAAGAAGCATTCTGTGAAACTTGTTTGTGATGTGTGTACTCAACTAACAGAGTTGAACCTTTCTTTTTGCAGAGCAGTTTTGAAACACTCTTTTTGTAGAATCTGCGAGGGGATATTTGGATAGATTTCAGGATTTCGTTGGAAACGGGAATATCTTCATATAAAATCTCGACAGAAGCATTCTCAGAAACTTCCTTGTGATATGTGCATTCAAGTCACAGAGTTGAATATTCCCTTTCACAGAGTAGGTTTGAAACACTCTTTTTGTAGTATCTGGAAGTGGACATTTGGAGCGCCTTGACGCCTACGGTGAAAAGGGAAATATCTTCCCATAAAAACTAGACACAAGCAATCTCAGAATTTTCTTTGGGATATATGCACACAGCTAACAGAGTTGAACTTTTCTATTGACATAGCAGTTTTGAAACAGTCTTTCTGTGGAATATGCAAGTGGATATTTCGATAGCTTGGAGGATTTCGTTGGAAACGGGATTACGTATAAAAAGTAGACAGCAGCATCCTCAGGAAACTTCTTTGTGATGTGTGCATTCAAGTCACAGCAGTTGAACATTCCCTTTCGTACAGCAGTTTTGAAACACTCTTTCTGTAGTATCTGGAAGTGAACATTAGGACAGCTTTCAGCTCTATGGTGAGAAAGGAAATATCTTCAAATAAAAACTAGACAGAAGCATTCTCATAAACTTCTTTGTGATGTGTGAACTCAGCTAACCGAGGTGGATCTTTCTTTTGATAGAGCAGTTCTGAAAAACACTTTTTGTTGAATCTGCAGGTGGACATTTGGATAGATTTGAAGATTTCGTTGGAAACGGGAATAACTTCATTTCAAATCTAGACAGAAGCATTCTCAGAAACGTCTTTGTGATGTTTGCATTCAACTCATAGAGTTGAACATTCCCTTTCAGAGAGCAGCTTTGAAGCACTCTTTTTGTAGTATGTGCAAGTGGATATTTGGATCGCTCTGAGGCCTAAGGTGAAAAAGCAAATATCTTCCCATAACCACTAGACAGAAACATTCTCAGGAACTCCTTTATGATGTATGCACTCACCTAACAGAGAAGAACCTTCCTTTTGACAGAGCAGTTTTGATACACTCTTTTTGTAGAATCTGCAAGTGGATATTTGGATAGCTGTGAAGATTTCGTTGGAAACGGGAATATCTTCCTATAAAATCTAGACAGAAGCATTCTCAGGAACTGCTCTGCGATGTCTGTATTCAAGTCACAGGGTTGAACATTGCCTTTCATAGAGCAGGTTTGAAACGCTCTTTTTGTAGTATATGGAAGTGGACGTTTCGGACGGTTTGAGGCCCATGGTGATAAAGGGAATATCTTCCCCTACAAGCTAGAAAGAAGCATTCTGTGAAACTTGTTTGTGATGTGTACTCAACTAACAGAGTTGAACCTTTCTTTTTACAGAGCAGTTTTGAAACACTCTTTTTGTAGAATCTGCGAGGGGATATTTGGATAGATTTCAGGATTTCGTTGGAAACGGGAATGTCTTCATATAAAATCTCGACAGAAGCATTCTCAGAAACTTCTTTGTGATATCTGCATTCAAGTCACAGAGTTGAATATTCCCTTTCACAGAGTAGGTTTGAAACACTCTTTTTGTAGTATCTGGAAGTGGACATTTGGAGCGCCTTGACGCCTACGGTGAATAGGGAAATATCTTCCCATAAAAACTAGACAGAAGCAATCTCAGAATTTTCTTTGGGATGTATGCACATAGCTAACAGAGTTGAACCTTTCTTTTTACAGAGCAGTTTTGAAACACTCTTTTTGTAGAATCTGCAAGTGGATATTTGGATAGCTTGGAGGATTTCGTTGGAAACGGGATTACGTATAAAAAGTAGACGGCAGCATCCTCAGAAACATCCTTGTGATGTGTGCATTCAAGTCACAGAGTTGAACATTCCCTTTCGTACAGCAGTTTTGAAACACTCTTTCTGTAGTATCTGGAAGTGAACTTTAGGAGAGCTTTCAGGTCTATAGTGAGAAAGGATATATCTTCAAATAAAAACTAGACAGAAGCATTCTCATAATCTTGTTTGTGATGTGTGAACTCAGCTAACAGAGGTGGATCTTTCTTTTGATAGAGCAGTTCTGAAAAACACTTTTTGTTGAATCTGCAAGTGGACATTTGGATAGATTTGAAGATTTCGTTGGAAACGGGAATATCTTCATATCAAATCTAGACAGAAGCATTCTCAGAAACGTCTTTGCGATGTTTGCATTCAACTCATAGAGTTGAACATTCCCTTTCAGAGAGCAGCTTTGAAGCACTCTTTTTGTAGCATGTGCAAGTGGACATTTGGAGCGCCCTGAGGCCTACGGGGAAAAAGCAAATATCTTCCCATAACCACTAGACAGAAACATTCTCAGAAACTGCTTTATGACGTATGCACTCACCTAACAGAGAAGAACCTTCCTTTTGACAGAGCAGTTTTGATACACTCTTTTTGTAGAATCTGCAAGTAGATATTTGGATAGCTGTGAAGATTTCGTTGGAAACGGGAATATCTTCCTATAAAATCTAGACAGAAGCATTCTCAGAAACTGCTCTGTGATGTCTGCATTCAAGTCACAGAGTTGAACATTGCCTTTCATAGAGCAGGTTTGAAACGCTCTTTTTGTAGTATAGGGAAGTGGATGTTTCGGACGGTTTGAGGCCCATGGTGATAAAGGGAATATCTTCCCCTACAAGCTAGAAAGAAGCATTCTGTGAAACTTGTTTGTGATGTATGTACTCAACTAACAGAGTTGAACCTTTCTTTTTACAGAGCAGTTTTGAAACACTCTTTTTGTAGAATCTGCGAGGGGATATTTGGATAGATTTCAGGATTTCGTTGGAAACGGGAATATCTTCATATAAAATCTCGACAGAAGCATTATCAGAAACTTCTTGGTGATATGTGCATTCAAGTCACAGAGTTGAATATTCCCTTTCACAGAGTAGGTTTGAAACACTCTTTTTGTAGTATCTGGAAGTGGACATTTGGAGCGCCTTGACGCCTACGGTGAAAAGGGAAATATCTTCCCATAAAAACTAGACAGAAGCAATCTCAGAATCTTCTTTGGTATATATGCACGCAGCTAATAGAGTTGAACCTTTCTATTGACAGAGCAGTTTTGAAACAGTCTTTCTGTGGAATCTGCAAGTGGATATTTGGATAGCTTGGGGGATTTCTTTGGAAAAGGGATTACGTATAAAAAGTAGACAGCAGCATCCTCAGAAACTTCTTTGTGATGTGTGCATTCAAGTCACAGAGTTGAACATTCCCTTTCGTACAGCAGTTTTGAAACACTCTTTCTGTAGTATCTGGAAGTGAACATGAGGACAGCTTTCAGGTCTATGGTGAGAAAGGAAATATCTTCAAATAAAAACTAGACAGAAGCATTCTCATAAACTTGTTTGTGATGTGTGAACTCAGCTAACAGAGGTGGATCTTTCTTTTGATAGAGCAGTTCTGAAAAACACTTTTTGTTGAATCTGCAAGTGGACATTTCGATAGATTTGAAGATTTCGTTGGAAACGGGAACATCTTCATATCAAATCTAGACAGAAGCATTTTCAGAAACGTCTTTGTGATGTTTGCATTCAACTCATAGAGTTGAACATTCCGTTTCAGAGAGCAGTTTTGAGGCACACTTTTTGTAGTATGTGCAAGTGGATATTTGGAGCGCTCTGAGGCCTACGGTGAAAAAGCAAATATCTTCCCATAACCACTAGACAGAAACATTCTCAGAAACTCCTTTATGACGTATGCACTCACCTAACAGAAAAGAACCTTCCTTTTGATAGAGCAGTTTTGATACACTCTTTTTGTAGAATCTGCAAGTGGATATTTGGATAGCTGTGAAGATTTCGTTGGAAACGGGAATATCTTCCTATAAAATCTAGACAGAAGCATTCTCAGAAACTGCTCTGTGATGTCTGCATTCAAGTCACAGAGTTGAACATTGCCTTTCCTAGAGCAGGTTTGAAACGCTCTTTTTGTAGTATATGGAAGTGGACGTTTCGGACGGTTTGAGGCCCATGGTGATAAAGGGAATATTCTTCCCCTACAAGCTAGAAAGAAGCATTCTTTGAAACTTGTTTGTGATGTGTGTACTCAACTAACAGAGTTGAACCTTTCTTTTTACAGAGCAGTTTTGAAACACTCTTTTTGTAGAATCTGCGAGGGGATATTTTGATACATTTCAGCATTTCGTTGGAAACGGGAATATCTTCATATCAAATCTAGACAGAAGCATTCTCAGAAAGTTCTTTGTGATATCTGCACTCAAGTCACAGAGTTGAATATTCCCTTTCACAGAGTAGGTTTGAAACACTCTTTTTGTAGTATCTGGAAGTGGACATTTGGAGCGCCTTGACACCTACGGTGAAAAGGGAAATATCTTCCGATAAAAACTAGACAGAAGCAATCTCAGAATCTTCTTTGGGATATATGCACGCAGCTAACAGAGTTGAACCTTTCTATTGGCAGAGCAGTTTTGAAACAGTCTTTCTGTGGAATCTGCAAGTGGATATTTGGATAGCTTGGAGGATTTCGTTGGAAACGGGATTACGTATAAAAAGTAGACAGCAGCATCCTCAGAAACTTCTTTGTGATGTGTGCATTCAAGTCACAGAGTTGAACATTCCCTTTTGTACAGCAGTTTTGAAACACTCTTTCTGTAGTATCTGGAAGTGAACATTAAGACAGCTTTCAGGTCTATGGTGAGAAAGGAAATATCTTCAAATAAAAACTAGACAGAAGCATTCTCATAAACTTGTTTGTGATGTGTGAACTCAGCTAACAGAGGTGGATCTTTCTTTTGATAGAGCAGTTCTGAAAAACACTTTTTGTTGAATCTGCAAGTGGACATTTGGATAGATTTGAAGATTTCGTTGGAAACGGGAATATCTTCATATCAAATTTTGACAGAAGCATTCTCAGAAACGTCTTTGTGATGTTTGCATTCAACTCATAGAGTTGAACATTCCGTTTCAGAGAGCAGCTTTGAAGCACTCTTTTTGTAGTATGTGCAAGGGGATATTTGGAGCGCTCTGAGGCCTAAGGTGAAAAAGCAAATATCTTCCCATAACCACTAGACAGAAACATTCTCAGAAACTCCTTTATGACGTATGCACTCACCTAACAGAGAATAACCTTCCTTTTGACAGAGCAGTTTTGATACACTCTTTTTGTAGAATCTGCAAGTGGATATTTGGATAGCTGTGAAGGTTTCGTTGGAAACGGGAATATCTTCCTATAAAATCTAGACAGAAGCATTCTCAGAAACTGCTCTGTGATGTCTGCATTCAAGTCACAGAGTTGAACATTGCCTTTCATAGAGCAGGTTTGAAACGCTCGTTTTGTAGTATATGGAAGTGGACTTTTCGGACGGTTTGAGGCCCATGGTGATAAAGGGAATATCTTCCCCTACAAGCTAGAAAGAAGCATTCTGTGAAACTTGCTTGTGATGTTTGTACTCAACTAACAGAGTTGAACCTTTCTTTTTACAGAGCAGTTTTGAAACACTCTTTTTGTAGAATCTGCGAGGGGATATTTGGATAGATTTCAGGATTTCGTTGGAAACGGGAATATCTTCATATAAAATCTCGACAGAAGCATTCTCAGAAACTTCTTTGTGATATGTGCATTCAAGTCACAGAGTTGAATATTCCCTTTCACAGAGTAGGTTTGAAACACTCTTTTTGTAGTATCTGGAAGTGGACATTTGTAGCGCCTTGACGCCTACGGTGAAAAGGGAAATATCTTCCCATAAAAACTAGACAGAAGCAATCTCAGAATCTTCTTTGGGATATATGCACGCAGCTAACAGAGTTGAACCTTTCTATTGACAGAGCAGTTTTGAAACAGTCTTTCTGTGGAATCTGCAAGTGCATATTTGGATAGCTTGGAGGATTTCGTTGGAAACGGGATTACGTATAAAAATTAGACAGCAGCATCCTCAGAAACTTCTTTGTGCGGTGTGCATTCAAGTCACAGAGTTGAACATTCCCTTTCGTACAGCAGTTTTGAAACACTCTTTCTGTAGTATCTGGAAGTGAACATTAGGACAGCTTTCAGGTCTATGGTGAGAAAGGAAATATCTTAAAATAAAAACTAGACAGAAGCATTCTCATAAACTTGTTTGTGATGTGTGAACTCAGCTAACAGAGGTGGATCTTTCTTTTGATAGAGCAGTTCTGAAAAACACTTTTTGTTGAATCTGCAAGTGGACATTTGGATAGATTTGAAGATTTCGTTGCAAACGGGAATATCTTCATATCAAATCTAGACAGAAGCATTCTCAGAAAAGTCTTTGTGATGTTTGCATTCAACTCACAGAGTTGAACATTCCCTTTCAGAGAGCAGCTTTGAAGCACTCTTTTTGTAGTATGTGCAAGGGGATATTTGGAGCGCTCTGAGGCCTACGGTGAAAAAGCAAATATCTTCCCATAACCACTAGACAGAAACATTCTCAGAAACTCCTTTATGACGTATGCACTCACCTAACAGAGAAGAACCTTTCTTTTGACAGAGCAGTTTTCATACACTCTTTTGGTAGAATCTGCAAGTGGATATTTGGATAGCTGTGAAGATTTCGTTGGAAACGGGAATATCTTCCTATAAAATCTAGACAGAAGCATTCTCAGAAACTGCTCTGTGATGTCTGCATTCAAGTCACAGAGTTGAACATTGCCTTTCATAGAGCAGGTTTGAAATGCTCTTTTTGTAGTATATGGAAGTGGACGTTTCGGACGGTTTGAGGACCACGGTGATAAAGGGAATATCTTCCCCTACAAGCTAGAAAGAACAATTCTGTGAAACTTGTTTGTGATGTGTGTACTCAACTAACAGAGTTGAACCTTTCTTTTTACAGAGCAGTTTTGAAACACTCTTTTTGTAGAATCTGCGAGGGGATATTTGGATACATTTCAGGATTTCGTTGGAAACGGGAATATCTTCATATAAAATCTCGACAGAAGCATTCTCAGCAAACTTCTGTGTGATATCTGCATTCAAGTCACAGGAGTTGAATATTCCCTTTCACCGAGTAGGTTTGAAACACTCTTTTTGTAGTATCTGGAAGTGGACATTTGGAGCGCCTTGACGCCTACGGTGTAAAGGGAAATATCTTCCCATAAAAACTAGACAGAAGCAATCTCAGAATCGTCTTTGGGATATATGCACGCAGCTAACAGAGTTGAACCTTTCTATTGACAGAGCAGTTTTGAAACAGTCTTTCTGTGGAATCTGCAAGTGGATATTTGGATAGCTTGGAGGATTTCGTTGGAAACAGGATTACGTATAAAAAGTAGACAGCCAGCATCCTCAGAAACTTCTTTGTGATGTGTGCATTCAAGTCACAGAGTTGAACATTCCCTTTCGTACAGCAGTTTTGAAACACTCTTCCTGTAGTATCTGGAAGTGAACATTAGGACAGCTTTCAGCTCTATGGTGAGAAAGGAAATATCTTCAAATAAAAACTAGACAGAGCATTCTCATAAACTTCTTTGTGATGTGTGAACTCAGCTAACCGAGGTGGATCTTTCTTTTGATAGAGCAGTTCTGAAAAACACTTTTTGTTGAATCTGCAAGTGGACATTTGGATAGATTTGAAGATTTCGTTGGGAACGGGAATATCTTCATATCAAATCTAGACAGAAGCATTCTCAGAAACGTCTTTGTGATGTTGGCATTCAACTCATAGAGTTGAACATTCCGTTTCAGAGAGCAGTTTTGAAGCACTCTTTTTGTAGTATGTGCAAGGGGATATTTTGAGCGCTCTGAGGCCTAAGGTGAAAAAGCAAATATCTTCCCATAACCACTAGACAGAAACATTCTCAGAAACTCCTTTATGACGTATGCACTCACCTAACAGAAAAGAACCTTCCTTTTGACAGAGCAGTTTTGAAACACTCTTTTTGTAGAATCTGCAAGTGGATATTTGGATAGCTGTGAAGATTTCGTTGGAAACGGGAATATCTTCCTATAAAATCTAGACAGAAGCATTCTCAGAAACTGCTCTGTGATGTCTGCATTCAAGTCACAGAGTTGAACATTGCCTTTCATAGAGCAGGTTTGAAACGCTCTTTTTGTAGTATATGGAAGTAGACGTTTCAGACGGTTTGAGGCCCATGGTGATAAAGGGAATATCTTCCCCTACAAGCTAGAAAGAAGCATTCTGTGAAACTTGTTTGTGATGTGTGTACTCAACTAACAGAGTTGAACCTTTCTTTTCACAGAGCAGTTTTGAAACACTCTTTTTGTAGAATCTGCGAGCGGATATTTGGATAGATTTCAGGATTTCGTTGGAAACGGGAATATCTTCATATAAAATGCTCGACAGAAGAATTCTCAGAAACTTCTTTGTGATATGTGCATTCAAGTCACAGAGTTGAATATTCCCTTTCACAGAGTAGGTTTGAAACACTCTTTTTGTAGTATCTGGAAGTGGACATTTGGAGCGCCTTGACGCCTACGGTGGAAAGGGAAATATCTTCCCATAAAAACTAGACAGAAGCAATCTCAGAATCTTCTTTGGGATATATGCACGCAGCTAACAGAGTTGAACCTTTCTGTTGACAGAGCAGTTTTGAAACAGTCTTTCTGTGGAATCTGCAAGTGGATATTTGGATAGCTTGGAGGATTTCGTTGGAAACGGGATTACGTATAAAAAGTAGACAGCAGCATCCTCAGAAACTTCTTTGTGATGTGTGCATTCAAGTCACAGAGTTGAACATTCCCTTTCGTACAGCAGTTTTGAAACACTTTTTCTGTAGCATCTGGAAGAGAACATTAGGACAGCTTTCAGGTCTAGGGTGAGAAAGGCAATATCTTCAAATAAAAACTAGACAGAAGCATTCTCATAAACTTGTTTGTGATGTGTGAACTCAGCTAACAGAGGTGGATCTTTCTTTTGATACAGCAGTTCTGAAAAACACTTTTCGTTGAATCTGCAAGTGGACATTTGGATAGATTTGAAGATTTCGTTGGAAACGGGAATATCTTCATATCAAATCTAGACAGAAGCATTCTCAGAAACGTCTTTGTGATGTTTGCATTCAACTCATAGAGTTGAACATTCCGTTTCAGAGATCAGCTTTGAAGCACTCTTTTTGTAGTATGTGCAAGTGGATATTTGGATCGCTCTGAGGCCTAAGGTGAAAAAGCAAATATCTTCCCATAACCACTAGACAGAAACATTCTCAGAAACTCCTTTATGACGTATGCACTCACCTAACAGAGAAGAACCTTCCTTTTGACAGAGCAGTTTTGATACACTCTTTTTGTAGAATCTGCAAGTGGATATTTGGATAGCTGTGAAGATTTCGTTGGAAACGGGAATATCTTCCTATAAAATCTAGACTGAAGCATTCTCAGAAACTGCTCTGCGATGTCTGCATTCAAGTCACTGAGTTGAACATTGCCTTTCATAGAGTAGGTTTGAAACGCTCTTTTTGTAGTATATGGAAGTAGACGTTTCGGACGGTTTGAGGCCCATGGTGATAAAGGGAATATCTTCCCCTACAAGCTAGAAAGAAGCATTCTGTGAAACTTGTTTGTGATGTGTGTACTCAACTAACAGAGTTGAACCTTTCTTTTTAAAGAGCAGTTTTGAAACACTCTTTTTGTAGAATCTGCGAGGGGATATTTGGATACATTTCAGGATTTCGTTGGAAACGGGAATATCTTCATATAAAATCTCGACAGAAGCATTCTCAGAAACTTCTTTGTGATATCTGCATTCAAGTCACAGAGTTGAATATTCCCTTTCACAGAGTAGGTTTGAAACACTCTTTTTGTAGTATCTGGAAGTGGACATTTGGAGCGCCTTGACGCCTACGGTGAAAAGGGAAATATCTTCTCATAAAAACTAGACAGAAGCAATCTCAGAATCTTCTTTGGGATATATGCACGCAGCTAACAGAGTTGAACCTTTCTATTGACAGAGCAGTTTTGAAACAGTCTTTCTGTGGAATCTGCAAGTGGATATTTGGATAGATTGGAGGATTTCGTTGGAAACGGGATTACGCATAAAAAGTAGACAGCAGCATCCTCAGAAACTTCTTTGTGATGTGTGCATTCAAGTCACAGAGTTGAACATTCCCTTTCGTACAGCAGTTTTGAAACACTCTTTCTGTAGTATCTGGAAGTGAACATTAAGACAGCTTTCAGCTCTATGGTGAGAAAGGAAATATCTTCAAATAAAAACTAGACAGAAGCATTCTCATAACCTTGTTTGTGATGTGTGAACTCAGCTAACAGAGGTGGATCTTTCTTTTGATAGAGCAGTTCTGAAAAACACTTTTTGTTGAATCTGCAAGTGGATATTTGGATAGATTTGAAGATTTCTTTGGAAACGGGAATATCTTCATATCAAATCTAGACAGAAGCATTCTCAGAAACGTCTTTGTGATGTTTGCATTCAACTCATAGAGTTGAACATTCCCTTTCAGAGAGCAGCTTTGAAGCACTCTTTTTGTAGTATGTGCAAGGGGATATTTTGAGCGCTGTGAGGCCTAAGGTGAAAAAGCAAATATCTTCTCATAACCACTAGACACAAACATTCTCAGAAACTCCTTTATGACGTATGCACTCACCTAACTGAGAAGAACCTTCCTTTTGACAGAGCAGTTTTGATACACTCTTTTTGTAGAATCTGCAAGTGGATATTTGGATAGCTGTGAAGATTTCGTTGAAAACGGGAATATCTTCCTATAAAATCTAGACAGAAGCATTCTCAGAAACTGCTCTGTGATGTCTGCATTCAAGTCACAGAGTTGAACATTGCCTTTCCTAGAGCAGGTTTGAAACGCTCTTTTTGTAGTATATGGAAGTTGACGTTTCGGACGGTTTGAGGCCCATGGTGATAAAGGGAATATCTTCCCCTACAAGCTAGAAAGAAGCATTGTGTGAAACTTGTTTGTGATGTGTGTACTCAACTAACAGAGTTGAACCTTTCTTTTCACAGAGCAGTTTTGAAACACTCTTTTTGTAGAATCTGCAAGGGGATATTTGGATAGATTTCAGGATTTCGTTGGAAACGGGAATATCTTCATATAAAATCTCGACAGAAGCATTCTCAGAAACTTCTTTGGAATATGTGTATTCAAGTCACAGAGTTGAATACTCCCTTTCACAGAGTAGGTTTGAAACACTCTTTTTGTAGTATCTGGAAGTGGACATTTGGAGCGCCTTGACGCCTACAGTGAAAAGGGAAATATCTTCCCATAAAAACTAGACAGAAGCAATCTCAGAATCTTCTTTGGGATATATGCACGCAGCTAACAGAGTTGAACCTTTCTATTGACAGAGCAGTTTTGAAACAGTCTTTCTGTGGAACCTGCAAGTGGATATTTGGATAGCTTGGAGGATTTCGTTGGAAACGGGATTACGTATAAAAAGTAGACAGCAGCATCCTCAGAAACTTCTTTGTGATGTGTGCTTTCAAGTCACAGTGTTGAACATTCCCTTTCGTACAGTAGTTTTGAAACACTCTTTCTGTAGTATCTGGAAGTGAACATTAGGACAGCTTGCAGGTCTATGGTGAGAAGGGAAATATCTTCAAATAAAAACTAGACAGAAGCATTCTCATAAACATGTTTGTGATATGTGAACTCAGCTAACAGAGGCGGATCTTTCTTTTGATAGAGCAGTTCGGAAAAACACTTTTTGTTGAATCTGCAAGTGGACATTTGGATAGATTTGAAGATTTCGTTGGAAACGGGAATATCTTCATATCAAATCTAGACAGAAGTATTCTCAGACACGTCTTTGTGATGTTTGCATTCAACTCATAGAGTTGAACATTCCCTTCCAGAGAGCAGCTTTGAAGCACTCTTTTTGTAGCATGTGCAAGTGGACATTTGGAGTGCCCTGAGGCCTACGGGGAAAAAGCAAATATCTTCCCGTAACCACTAGACAGAAACATTCTCAGAAACTCCTTTATGACGTATGCACTCACCTAACAGAGAAGAACCTTCCTTTTGACAGAGCAGTTTTGATACACTCTTTTTGTACAATCTGCAAGTGGATATTTGGATAGCTGTGAAGATTTCGTTGGAAACGGGAATATCTTCCTATAAAATCTACACAGAAGCATTCTCAGAAACTGCTCTGTGATGTCTGCATTCAAGTCACAGAGTTGAACATTGCCTTTCATAGAGCAGGTTTGAAACGCTCTTTTTGTAGTATATGGAAGTGGACTTATCGGACGGTTTGAGGCCCATGGTGATAAAGGGAATATCTTCCCCTGCAAGCTAGAAAGAAGCATTCTGTGAAACTTGTTTGTGATGTGTGTACTCAACTAACAGAGTTGAACCTTTCTTTTCACAGAGCAGTTTTGAAACACTCTTTTTGTAGAATCTGCGAGGGGAAATTTGGATACATTTCAGGATTTCGTTGGAAACGGGAATATCTTCATACAAAATCTCGACAGAAGCATTCTCAGAAACTTCTTTGTGATATGTGCATTCAAGTCACAGAGTTGAATATTCCCTTTCACAGAGTAGGTTTGAAACACTCTTTTTGTAGCATCTGGAAGTGGACATTTGGAGCGCCTTGACTCCTACGGTGAAAAGGGAAATATCTTCCCATAAAAACTAGACAGAAGCAATCTCAGAATCTTCTTTGGGATATATGCACGCAGCTAACAGAGTTGAACCTTTCTATTGACAGAGCAGTTTTGAAACAGTCTTTCTGTGGAATCTGCAAGTGGATATTTGGATAGCTTGGAGGGTTTCGTTGTAAACGGGATTACGTATAAAAAGTAGACAGCAGCATCCTCAGAAACTTCTTTGTGATGTGTGCATTCAAGTCACAGAGTTGAACATTCCCTTTCGTACAGCAGTTTGAAACACTTTCTGTAGTATCTGGAAGTGAACATTAGGACAGCTTTCAGGTCTATGGTGAGAAAGGAAATATCTTCAAATAAAAACTAGACAGAAGCATTCTCATAAACTTGTTTCTGATGTGTGAACTAAGCTAACAGAGGTGGATCTTTCTTTTGATAGAGCAGTTCTGAAAAACACTTTTTGTTGAATCTGCAAGTGGATATTTGGATAGATTTGAAGATTTCGTTGGAAACGGGAATATCTTCATATCAAATCTAGACAGAAGCATTCTCAGAAAAGTCTTTGTGATGTTTGCATTCAACTCATAGAGTTGAACATTCCCTTTCAGAGAGCAGCTTTGAAGCACTCTTTTTGTAGTATGTGCAAGTGGATATTTGGAGCGCTCTGAGGCCTATGGTGAAAAAGCAAATATCTTCCCATAACCACTAGACAGAAACATTCTCAGAAACTCCTTTATGACATATGCACTCACCTAACAGAGAAGAACCTTCCTTTTGACAGAGCAGTTTTGATACACTCTTTTTGTAGAATCTGCAAGTGGATATTTGGATAGCTGTGAAGATTTCGTTGGAAACGGGAATATCTTCCTATAAAATCTAGACAGAAGCATTCTCAGAAACTGCTCTGTGATGTCTGCATTCAAGTCACAGAGTTGAACATTGCCTTTCATAGAGCAGGTTGTAAATGCTCTTTTTGTAGTATATGGAAGTGGACATTTCGGACGGTTTGAGGCCCATGGTGATAAAGGGAATATCTTCCCCTACAAGCTAGAAAGAAGCATTCTGTGAAACTTGTTTGTGATGTGTGTACTCAACTAACAGAGTTGAACCTTTCTTTTCACAGAGCAGTTTTGAAACACTCTTTTTGTAGAATCTGCGAGGGGATATTTGGATAGATTTCAGGATTTCGTTGGAAACGGGAAAATATCTTCATATAAAATCTCGACAGAGAAGCATTCTCAGAAACTTCTTTGTGATATCTGCATTCAAGTCACAGAGTTGAATATTCCCTTTCACAGAGTAGGTTTGAAACACTCTTTTTGTAATATCTGGAAGTGGACATTTGGAGCGCCTTGACGTCTACGGTGAAAAGGGAAATATCTTCCCATAAAAACTAGACAGAAGCAATCTCAGAATCTTCTTTGGGATATATGCAGGCAGCTAACAGAGTTGAACCTTTCTATTGACAGAGCAGTTTTGAAACAGTCTTTCTGTGGAATCTGCAAGTGGATATTTGGATAGATTGGAGGATTTCGCTGGAAACGGGATTACGTATAAAAAGTAGACAGCAACATCCTCAGAAACTTCTTTGTGATGTGTGCATTCAACTCACAGAGTTGAACATTCCCTTTCGTACAGCAGTTTTGAAACACTCTTTCTGTAGTATCTGGAAGTGAACATTAGGACAGCTTTCAGCTCTATGGTGAGAAAGGAAATATCTTCAAATAAAAACTAGACAGATAAGCATTCTCATAAACTTGTTTGTGATGTGTGAACTCAGCTAACAGAGGTGGATCTTTCTTTTGATAGAGCAGTTCGGAAAAACACTTTTTGTTGAATCTCCAAGTGGACATTTGGATAGATTTGAAGATTTCGTTGGAAACGGGAATATCTTTATATCAAATCTAGACAGAAGCATTCTCGGAAACGTCTTTGTCATGTTTGCATTCACCTCATAGAGTTGAACATTCCGTTTAAGAGAGCAGCTTTGAAGCACTCTTTTTGTAGTATGTGCAAGGGGATATTTGGAGCGCTCTGAGGCCTAAGGTGAAAAAGCAAATATCTTCCCATAACCACTAGACAGAAACATTCTCAGAAACTCCTTTATGACGTATGTACTCACCTAACAGAGAAGAACCTTCCTTTTGACAGAGCAGTTTTGATACACTCTTTTTGTAGAATCTGCAAGTGGATATTTGGATAGCTGTGAAGATTTCGTTGGAAACGGGAATATCTTCCTATAAAATGTAGACAGACAAGCATTCTCAGAAACTGCTCTGTGATGTCTGCATTCAAGTCACAGAGTTGAACATTGCCTTTCATAGAGCAGGTTTGAAACTCTCTTTTTGTAGTATATGGAAGTAGACGTTTCGGACGGTTTGAGGCCCATGGTGATAAAGGGAATATCTTCCCCTACAAGCTAGAAAGAAGCATTGTGTGAAACTTGTTTGTGATGTGTGTACTCAACTAACAGAGTTGAACCTTTCTTTTTACAGAGCAGTTTTGAAACACTCTTTTTGTAGAATCTGCGAGGGGATATTTGGATACATTTCAGCATTTCGTTGGAAACGGGAATATATTCATATAAAATCTCGACAGAAGCATTCTCAGAAACTTCTTTGTGATATGTGCATTCAAGTCACAGAGCTGAATATTCCCTTTCACAGAGTAGGTTTGAAACACTCTTTTTGTAGTATCTGGAAGTGGACATTTGGAGCGCCTTGACACCTACGGTGAAAAGGGAAATATCTTCCCATAAAAACTAGACAGAAGCAATCTCAGAATCTTCTTTGGGATATATGCACGCAGCTAACAGAGTTGAACCTTTCTATTGACAGAGCAGTTTTGAAACAGTCTTTCTGTGGATTCTGCAAGTGGATATTTGGATAGGTTGGAGGATTTCGTTGGAAACGGGATTACGTATAAAAAGTAGACAGCAGCATCCTCAGAAACTTCTTTGTGATGTGTGCATTCAAGTCACAGAGTTCAACATTCCCTTTCGTACAGCAGTTTTGAAACACTCTTTCTGTAGTATCTGGAAGTGAACATTAGGACAGCTTTCAGGTCTATGGTGAGAAAGGAAATATTCTTCAAATAAAAACTAGACAGAAGCATTCTCATAAACTTGTTTGTGATGTGTGAACTCAGCTAACAGAGGTGGATCTTTCTTTTGATAGAGCAGTTCTGAAAAACACTTTCTGTTGAATCTGCAAGTGGACATTTGGATAGATTTGAAGATTTCGTTGGAAACGGGAAGATCTTCATATCAAATCTAGACAGAAAGCATTCTCAGAAACGTCTTTGTGATGTTTGCATTCAACTCATAGAGTTGAACATTCCCTTTCAGAGAGCAGCTTTGAAGCACTCTTTTTGTAGTATGTGCAAGTGGATATTTGGAGCGCTCTGAGGCCTACGGTGAAAAAGCAAATATCTTCCCATAACCACTAGACAGAAACATTCTCAGAAACTCCTTTATGACGTATGCACTCACCTAACAGAAAAGAACCTTCCTTTTGACAGAGCAGTTTTGATACACTCTTTTTGTAGAATCTGCAAGTGGATATTTGGATAGCTGTGAAGATTTCGTTGGAAACGGGAATATCTTCCTATAAAATTTAGACAGAAGCATTCTCAGAAACTGCTCTGTGATGTCTGCATTCAAGTCACAGAGTTGAACATTGCCTTTCATAGAGCACGTTTGAAACGCTCTTTTTGTAGTATATGGAAGTAGACTTTTCGGACGGTTTGAGGCCCATAGTGATAAAGGGAATATCTTCCCCTACAAGATAGAAAGAAGCACTCTGTGAAACTTGTTTGTGATGTGTGTATTCAACTAACAGAGTTGAACCTTTCTTTTTACAGAGCAGTTTTGAAACACTCTTTTTGTAGAATCTGCAAGGGGATATTTGGATAGATTTCAGGATTTCGTTGGAAACGGGAATATCTTCATATAAAATCTCGACAGAAGCATTCTCAGAAACTTCTTTGTAATATGTGCATTCAAGTCACAGAGTTGAATATTCCCTTTCACAGAGTAGGTTTGAAACACTCTTTTTGTAGTATCTGGAAGTGGACATTTGGAGCGCCTTGACACCTATGGTGAAAAGGGAAATATCTTCCCATAAAAAGTAGACAGAAGGAATCTCAGAATCTTCTTTGGGATATATGCACGCAGCTAACAGAGTTGAACCTTTCTATTGACAGAGCAGTTTTGAAACAGTCTTTCTGTGGAATCTGCAAGTGGATATTTGGATAGCTTGGAGGATTTCGTTGGAAACGGGATTACGTATCAAAAGTAGACAGCAGCATCCTCAGAAACTTCTTTGTGATGTGTGCATTCAAGTCACAGACTTGAACATTCCCTTTCGTACAGCAGTTTTGAAACACTCTTTCTGTAGTATCTGGAAGTGAACATTAGGACAGCTTTCAGCTCTATGGTGAGAAAGGAAATATCTTCAAATAAAAACTAGACAGAAGCATTCTCATAAACTTGTTTGTGATGTGTGAACTCAGCTAACAGAAGTGGATCTTTCTTTTGATAGAGCAGTTCTGAAAAACACTTTTTGTTGAATCTGCAAGTGGACATTTGGATAGATTTGAAGATTTCCTTGGAAACGGGAATATCTTCATATCAAATCTAGACAGAAGCATTCTCAGAAACGTCTTTGTGATGTTTGCATTCAACTCATAGAGTTGAACATTCCCTTTAAGAGAGCAGCTTTGAAGCACTCTTTTTGTAGCATGTGCAAGTGGACATTTGGAGCGCCCTGAGGCCTACGGGGAAAAAGAAAATATCTTCCCATAACCACTAGACAGAAACATTCTCAGAAACTGCTTTATGACGTATGCACTCACCTAACAGAGAAGAACCTTCCTTTTGACAGAGCAGTTTTGATACACTCTTTTTGTAGAATCTGCAAGTGGATATTTGGATAGCTGTGAAGATTTCGTTGGAAACGGGAATATCTTCTTATAAAATCTAGACAGAAGCATTCTCAGAAACAGCTCTGTGATGTCTACATTCAAGTCACAGAGTTGAACATTGCCTTTCATAGAGCAGGTTTGAAACGCTCTTTTTGTAGTATATGGAAGTGGACGTTTCGGACGGTTTGAGACCCATGGTGATAAAGGGAATATCTTCCCCTACAAGCTAGAAAGAAGCATTCTGTGAAACTTGTTTGTGATGTGTGTACTCAACTAACAGAGTTGAACCTTTCTTTTTACAGAGCAGTTTTGAAACACTCTTTTTGTAGAATCTGCGAGGGGATATTTGGATAGATTTCAGCATTTCGTTGGAAACGGGAATATCTTCATATAAAATCTCGACAGAAGCATTCTCAGAAACTTCTTTGTCATATCTGCCTTCAAGTGACAGAGTTGAATATTCCCTTTCACAGAGTAGGTTTGAAACACTCTTTTTGTAGTATCTGGAAGTGGACATTTGGAGTGCCTTGACGCCTACGGTGAAAAGGGAAATATCTTCCCATAAAAACTAGACAGAAGCAATCTCAGAATCTTCTTTGGGATATATGTACGCAGCTAATAGAGTTGAACCTTTCTATTGACAGAGCAGTTTTGAAACAGTCTTTCTGTGGAATCTGCAAGGGGATATTTGGATAGCTTGGAGGATTTCGTTGGAAACGGGATTACGTATAAAAAGTAGACAGCAGCATCCTCAGAAACATCCTTGTGATGTGTGCATTCAAGTCACAGAGTTGAACATTCCCTTTCGTACAGCAGTTTTGAAACACTCTTTCTGTAGTATCTGGAAGTGAACATTAGGACAGCTTTCAGGTCTATGGTGAGAAAGGAAATATCTTCAAATAAAAACTAGACAGAAGCATTCTCATAAACTTGTTTGTGATGTGTGAACTCAGCTAACAGAGGTAGATCTTTCTTTTGATAGAGCAGTTCTGAAAAACACTTTTTGTTGAATCTGCAAGTGGACATTTGGATAGATTTGAAGATTTCGTTGGAAACGGGAATATCTTCATATCAAATCTAGACAGAAGCATTCTCAGAAACGTCTTTGCGATGTTTGCATTCAACTCATAGAGTTGAACATTCCCTTTGAGAGAGCAGCTTTGAAGCACTCTTTTTGTAGCATGTGCAAGTGGACATTTGGAGCGCCCTGAGGCCGACGGGGAAAAAGCAAATATCTTCCCATAACCACTAGACAGAAACATTCTCAGAAAATCCTTTATGACCGTATGCACTCACCTAACAGAGAAGAACCTTCCTTTTGACAGAGCAGTTTTGATACACTCTTTTTGTAGAATCTGCAAGTGGATATTTGGATAGCTGTGAAGATTTCGTTTGAAACGGGAATATCTTCCTATAAGATCTAGACAGAAGCATTCTCAGAAACTGCTCTGTGATGTCTGCATTCAAGTCACAGAGTTGAACATTACCTTTCCTAGAGCAGGTTTGAAACGCTCTTTTTGTAGTATATGGAAGTGGACGTTTCGGACGGTTTGAGGACCATGGTGATAAAGGGAATATCTTCCCCTACAAGCTAGAAAGAAGCATTCTGTGAAACTTGTTTGTGATGTGTGTACTCAACTAACAGAGTTGAACCTTTCTTTTTACAGAGCAGTTTTGAAACCCTCTTTTTGTAGAATCTGCGAGGGGATATTTGGATACATTTCAGCATTTCGTTGGAAACGGGAATATCTTCATATAAAATCTCGACAGAAGCATTCTCAGAAACTTCTTGTGATATCTGCATTCAAGTCACAGAGTTGAATATTCCCTTTCACAGAGTAGGTTTGAAACACTCTTTTTGTAGTATCTGGAAGTGGACATTTGGAGCGCCTTGACCCCTACGATGAAAAGGGAAATATCTTCCCATAAAAACTAGACAGAAGCAATCTCAGAATCTTCTTTGGGATACATGCACGCAGCTAACAGAGTTGAACCTTTCTATTGACAGAGTAGTTTTGAAACAGTCTTTCTGTGGAATCTGCAAGTGGATATTTGGATAGCTTGGAGGATTTCGTTGGAAACGGGATTATGTATAAAAAGTAGACAGCAGCATCCTCAGAAACTTCTTTGTGATGTGTGCATTCAAGTCACAGAGTTGAACATTCCCTTTCGTACAACAGTTTTGAAACACTCTTTCTGTAGCATCTGGAAGTGAACATTAGGACAGCTTTCAGGTCTATGGTGAGAAAGGAAATATCTTCAAATAAAAACTAGACAGAAGCATTCTCATAAACTTGTTTGTGATGTGTGAACTCAGCTAACAGAGGTGGATCTTTCTTTTGATACAGCAGTTTTGAAAAACACTTTTTGTTGAATCCGCAAGTGGACATTTGGATAGATTTGAAGATTTCATTGGAAACGGGAATATCTTCATATCAAATCTAGACAGAAGCATTCTCAGAAACGTCTTTGTCCTGTTTGCATTCAACTCATAGAGTTGAACATTCCCTTTCAGAAAGCAGCTTTGAAACACTCTTTTTGTAGTATGTGCAAGTGGATATTTGGAGCGCTCTGAGGCCTACGGTGAAAAAGAAAATATCTTCCCATAACCACTAGACAGAAACATTCTCAGAAACTCCTTTATGACGTATGCACTCACCTAACAGAGAAGAACCTTCCTTTTGACAGAGCAGTTTTGATACACTCTTTTTGTAGAATCTGCAAGTGGATATTTGGATAGCTGTGAAGATTCCGTTGGAAACGGGAATATCTTCCTATAAAATCTAGACAGAAGCATTCTCAGAAACTGCTCTGTGATGTCTGTATTCAAGTCACAGAGTTGAACATTGCCTTTCATAGAGCAGGTTTGAAACGCTTTTTTGTAGTATATGGAAGTGGATGTTTCGGACGGTTGGAGGCCCATGGTGATAAAGGGAATATCTTCCCCTACAAGCTAGAAAGAAGCATTCTGTGAAACTTGTTTGTGATGCGTGTACTCAACTAACAGAGTTGAACCTTTCTTTTTACAGAGCAGTTTTGAAACACTCTTTTTGTAGAATCTGCGAGGGGATATTTGGATAGATTTCAGGATTTCGTTGGAAACGGGAATATCTTCATATAAAATCTCGACAGAAGCATTCTCAGAAACTTCTTTGTGATATCTGCATTCAAGTCACAGAGTTGAATATTCCCTTTCACAGAGTAGGTTTGAAACACTCTTTTTGTAGTATCTGGAAGTTGACATTTGGTGCGCCTTGACGCCTACGGTGAAAAGGGAAATATCTTCTCATAAAAAGTAGACAGAAGCAATCTCAGAATCTTCTTTGGGATATATGCACGCAGCTAACAGAGTTGAACCTTTCTATTGACAGAGCACTTTTGAAACAGTCTTTCTGTGGAATCTGCAAGTGGATATTTGGATAGCTTGGAGGATTTCGTTGGAAACGGGATTACGTATAAAAAGTAGACAGCAGCATCCTCAGAAACTTCTTTGTGATGTGTGCATTCAAGTCACAGAGTTGAACATTCCCTTTCGTATAGCAGTTTTGAAACACTCTTTCTGTAGTATCTGGAAGTGAACATTAGGACAGCTTTCAGGTCTATGGTGAGAAAGGAAATATCTTCAAATAAAAACTAGACAGAAGCATTCTCATAAACTTGTTTGTGATGTGTGAACTCAGCTAACGAACGTGGATCTTTCTTTTGATAGAGCAGTTCTGAAAAACACTTTTTGTTGAATCTGCAAGTGGACATTTGGATAGATTTGAAGATTTCGTTGGAAACGGGAATATCTTCATATCAAATCTAGACAGAAGCTTTCTCAGAAACGTCTTTGTGATGTTTGCATTCAACTCATAGAGTTGAACATTCCGTTTCAGAGAGCAGCTTTGAGGCACTCTTTTTGTAGTATGTGCAAGTGGATATTTGGAGCACTCTGAGGCCTACGGTGAAAAAGCAAATATCTTCCCATAACCACTAGACAGAAACATTCTCAGAAACTCCTTTATGACGTATGCACTCACCTAACAGAGAAGAACCTTCCTTTTGACAGAGCAGTTTTGATACACTCTTTTTGTAGAATCTGCAAGTGGATATTTGGATAGCTGTGAAGATTTCGTTGGAAACGGGAATATCTTGCCTATAAAATCTAGACAGAAGCATTCTCAGAAACTGCTATCTGATGTCTGCATTCAAGTCACAGAGTTGAACATTGCCTTTCCTAGAGCAGGTTTGAAACGCTCTTTTTGTAGTATATGGAAGTGGACGTTTCGGACGGTTTGAGGCCCATGGTGATAAAGGGAATATCTTCCCCTACAAGCTAGAAAGAAGCATTCTGTGAAACTTGTTTGTGATGTGTGTACTCAACTAACAGAGTTGAACCTTTCTTTTCACAGAGCAGTTTTGAAACACTCTTTTTGTAGAATCTGCGAGGGGATATTTGGATAGATTTCAGGATTTCGTTGGAAACGTGAATATCTTCATATAAAATCTCGACAGAAGCATTCTCAGAAACTTCTTTGTGATATGTGCATTCAAGTCACAGAGTTGAATATTCCCTTTCACAGAGTAGGTTTGAAACACTCTTTTTGTAGTATCTGGAAGTGGACATTTGGAGCGCCTTGACACCTACGGTGAAAAGGGAAATATCTTCCCATCAAAACTAGACAGAAGCAATCTCAGAATCTTCTTTGGGATATATGCACGCAGCTACCAGAGTTGAACCTTTCTATTGACAGAGCAGTTTTGAAACAGTCTTTCTGTGGAATCTGCAAGTGGATATTTGGATAGCTTGGAGGATTTCGTTGGAAACGGGATTACGTATAAAAAGTAGACAGCAGCATCCTCAGAAACTTCTTTGTGATGTGTGCATCCAAGTCACAGAGTTGAACATTCCCTTTCGTACAGCAGTTTTGAAACACTCTTTCTGTAGTATCTGGAAGTGAACATTAGGACAGCTTTCAGCTCTATGGTGAGAAAGGAAATATCTTCAAATAAAAACTAGACAGAAGCATTCTGATAAACTTGTTTGTGAAGTGTGATCTCAGCTAACAGAGGTGGATCTTTCTTTTGATAGAGCAGTTCTGAAAAACACTTTGTATGAATCTGCAAGTGGACATTTGGATAGATTTCAAGATTTCGTTGGAAACGGGAATATCTTCATATCAAATCTAGACAGAAGCATTCTCAGAAACGTCTTTGTGATGTTTGCATTCAACTCATAGAGTTGAACATTCCCTTTCAGAGAGCAGCTTTGAAGCACTCTTTTTGTAGTATGTGCAAGTGCATATTTGGAGCGCTCTGAGGCCTACGGTGAAAAAGCAAATATCTTCCCATAACCACTAGACAGAAACATTCTCAGAAACTCCTTTATGATGTATGCACTCACCTAACAGAGAAGAACCTTCCTTTTGACAGAGCAGTTTTGATACACTCTTTTTGTAGAATCTGCAAGTGGATATTTGGATAGCTGTGAAGATTTCGTTGGAAACGGGAATATCTTCATATAAAATCTAGACAGAAGCATTCTCAGAAACTGCTCTGTGAAGTCTGCATTCAAGTCACAGAGTTGAACATTGCCTTTCATAGAGCAGGTTTGAAACGCTCTTTTTGTAGTATATGGAAGTGGACGTTTCGGACGGTTTGAGGCCCATGGTGATAAAGGGAATATCTTCCCCTACAAGCTAGAAAGAAGCATTCTGTGAAACTTGTTTGTGATGTGTGTCCTCAACTAACAGAGTTGAACCTTTCTTTTTACAGAGCAGTTTTGAAACACTCTTTTTGTAGAATCTGCGAGGAGATATTTGGATAGATTTCAGGATTTTGTTGGAAACGGGAATATCTTCATATAAAATCGCGACAGAGGCATTCTCAGAAACTTCATTGTGATATCTGCATTCAAGTCACAGAGTTGAATATTCCCTTTCACAGAGTAGGTTTGAAACACTCTTTTTGTAGTATCTGTAAGTGGACATTTGGAGTGCCTTGACACCTACGGTGAAAAGGGAAATATCTTCCCCTAAAAACTAGACAGAAGCAATCTCAGAATCTTCTTTGGGATATATGCATGCAGCTAACAGAGTTGAACCTTTCTATTGACAGAGCAGTTTTGAAACAGTCTTTCTGTGGAATCTGCAAGTGGATATTTGGATAGCTTGGAGGATTTCATTGGAAACGGGATTACGTATAAAAAGTAGACAGCAGCATCCTCAGAAACTTCTTTGTGATGTGTGCATTCAAGTCACAGAGTTGAACATTCCCTTTCGTACAGCAGTTTTGAAACACTCTTTCTGTAGTATCTGGAAGTGAACATTAGGACAGCTTTCAGGTCTATGGTGAGGAAGGAAATATCTTCAAATAAAAACTAGACAGAAGCATTCTCATAAACTTGTTTTGATGTGTGAACTCAGCTAACAGAGGTGGATCTTTCTTTTGATACAACACTTTTGAAAAACACTTTTTGTTGAATCTGCAAGTGGACATTTGGATAGATTTGAAGATTTCTTTGGAAACGGGAATATCTTCATATCAAATCTAGACAGAAGCATTCTCAGAAACGTCTTTGTGATGCTTGCATTCAACTCATAGAGTTGAACATTCCCTTTCAGAGAGCAGCTTTGAAGCACTCTTTTTGTAGTATGTGCAAGTGGAGATTTGGAGCGCTTTGAGGCCTACGGGGAAAAAGCAAATATCTTCCCATAACCACTAGACAGAAACATTCTCAGAAACTCCTTTATGACGTATGCACTCACCTAACAGAAAAGAACCTTCCTTTTGACAGAGCAGTTTTGATACACGCTTTTTGTAGAATCTGCAAGTGGATATTTGTATAGCTGTGAAGATTTCGTTGGAAACGGGAATATCTTCCTATAAAATCTAGACAGAAGCATTCTCAGAAACTGCTCTGTGATGTCTGCATTCAAGTCACACAGTTGAACATTGCCTTTCATAGAGCAGGTTTGAAACGCTCTTTTTGTAGTATATGGAAGTAGACGTTTCGGACGGTTTGAGGCCCATGGTGATAAAGGGAATATCTTCCCCTACAAGCTAGAAAGAAGCATTCTGTGAATCTTGTTTGTGATGTGTGTACTCAACTAACAGAGTTGAACCTTTCTTTTTATAGAGCAGTTTTGAAACACTCTTTTTGTAGAATCTTCGAGGGGATATTTGGATAGATTTCAGGATTTCGTTGGAAACGGGAATATCTTCATATAAAATCTCGACAGAAGCATTCTCAGAAACTTCTTTGTGATATCTGCATTCAAGTCACAGAGTTGAATATTCCCTTTCACAGAGTAGGTTTGAAACACTCTTTTTGAAGTATCTGGAAGTGTACATTTGGAACGCCTTGACGCCTACGGTGAAAAGGAAAATATCTTCCCATAAAAACTAGACAGAAGCAATCTCAGAATCTTCTTTGGGATATATGCACGCAGCTAACAGAGTTGAACCTTTCTATTGACAGAGCTGTTTTGAAACAGTCTTTCTGTGGAATCTGCAAGTGGATATTTGGATAGCTTGGAGGATTTCGTTGGAAACGGGATTACGTATAAAAAGTAGACAGCAGCATCCTCAGAAACTTCTTTGTGATGTGTGCATTCAAGTCACAGAGTTGAACATTCCCTTTCGTACAGCAGTTTTGAAACACTCTTTCTGTAGTATCTGGAAGTGAACATTAGGACAGCTTTCAGGTCTATTTTGAGAAAGGAAATATCTTCAAATAAAAACTAGACAGAAGCATTCTCATAAACTTGTTTGTGATGTGTGAACCCAGCTAACAGAGGTGGATCTTTCTTTTGATAGAGCAGTTCTGAAAAACACTTTTTGTTGAATCTGCAAGTGGACATTTGGATAGATTTGATGATTTCGTTGGAAACGGGAATATCTTCATATCAAATCTAGACAGAAGGATTCTCAGAAACGTCTTTGTGATGTTTGCATTCAACTCATAGAGTTGAACATTCCGTTTCAGAGAGCAGCTTTGAAGCACTCTTTTTGTAGTATGTGCAAGTGGATATTTGGAGCGCTCTGAGGCCTAAGGTGAAAAAGCAAATATCTTCCCATAACCACTAGACAGAAACATTCTCAGAAACTCCTTTATGACGTATGTACTCATCTAACAGAGAAGAACCTTCCTTTTGACAGAGCAGTTTTGATACACTCTTTTTGTAGAATCTGCAAGTGGATATTTGGATAGCTGTGAAGATTTCGTTGGAAACGGGAATATCTTCCTATAAAATCTAGACAGAAGCATTCTCAGAAACTGCTCTGTGATGTCTGCATTCAAGTCACAGAGTTGAACATTGCCTTTCCTAGAGCAGTTTAGAAACGCTCTTTTTGTAGTATATGGAAGTGGACGTTTCGGACGGTTTGAGGCCCATGGTGATAAAGGGAATATCTTCCCCTACAAGCTAGAAAGAAGCATTCTGTGAAACTTGTTTGTGATGTGTGTACTCAACTAATAGAGTTGAAACTTTCTTTTTACAGAGCAGTTTTGAAACACTCTTTTTGTAGAATCTGCGAGGGGATATTTGGATAGATTTCTGGATTTCGTTGGAAAGGGGAATATCATCATATAAAATCTCGACAGAAGCATTCTCAGAAACTTCTTTGTGATATGTGCATTCAAGTCACAGAGTTGAATATTCCCTTTCACAGAGTAGGTTTGAAACACTCTTTTTGTAGTATCTGGAAGTGGACATTTGGAGCGCCTTGACGCCTACGGTGAAAAGGGAAAGATCTTCCCATAAAAACTAGACAGAAGCAATCTCAGAATCTTCTTTGGGATATATGCACGCAGCTAACAGAGTTGAACCTTTCTATTGACAGAGCAGTTTTGAAACAGTCTTTCTGTGGAATCTGGAAGTGGATATATGGATAGCTTGGAGGATTTCGTTGGAAACGGGATTACGTATAAAAAGTAGACAGCAGCATCCTCAGAAACTTCTTTGTGATGTGTGCATTCAAGTCACAGAGTTGAACATTCCCTTTCGTACAGCAGTTTTGAAACACTCTTTCTGTAGTATCTGGAAGTGAACATTAGGACAGCTTTCAGGTCTATGGTGAGAAAGGAAATATCTTTAAATAAAAACTAGACAGAAGCATTCTCATAAACTTGTTTGTGATGTGTGAACTCAGCTAACAGAGGTGGATCTTTCTTTTGATACAGCAGTTTTGAAAAACACTTTTTGTTGAATTTGCAAGTGGACATTTGGATAGATATGAAGATTTCGTTGGAAACGGGAATATCTTCATATCAAATCTAGACAGAAGCATTCTCAGAAACGTCTTTGTCATGTTTGCATTCAACTCATAGAGTTGAACATTCCCTTTCAGAGAGCTGCTTTGAAACACTCTTTTTGAAGTATGTGCAAGTGGATATTTGGAGCGCTCTGAGGCCTACGGTGAAAAAGCAAATATCTTCCCATAACCACTAGACAGAAACATTCTCAGGAACTCCTTTATGACGTATGCACTCACCTAACAGAGAAGAACCTTCCTTTTGACAGAGCAGTTTTGATACACTCTTTTTGTAGAATCTGCAAGTGGATATTTGGATAGCTGTGAAGATTTCGTTGGAAACGGGAATATCTTCCTATAAAATCTAGACAGAAGCATTCTCAGAAACTGCTCTGTGATGTCTGCATTCAAGTCACAGAGTTGAACATTGCCTTTCATAGAGCAGGTTTGAAACGCTCTTTTTGTAGTATATGGAAGTGGACGTTTCGGACGGTTTGAGGCCCATGGTGATAAAGGGAATATCTTCCCCTACAAGGTAGAAAGAAGCATTCTGTGAAACTTGTTTGTGATGTGTGTACTCAACTAACAGAGTTGAACCTTTCTTTTTACAGAGCAGTTTGGAAACACTCTTTTTGTAGAATCTGCGAGGGGATATTTGGATAGATTTCAGGATTTCGTTGGAAACGGGAATATCTTCATAAAAAATCTCGACAGAAGCACTCTCAGAAGCTTCTTTGTGATATGTGCATTCAAGTCACAGAGTTGAATATTCCCTTTCACAGAGTAGGTTTGAAACACTCTTTTTCTAGTATCTGGAAGTGGACATTTGGAGCGCCTTGACACCTACGGTGAAAAGGGAAATATCTTCCCCTAAAAACTAGACAGAAGCAATCTCAGAATTTTCTTTGGGATATATGCACACAGCTAACAGAGTTGAACTTTTCTATTGACAGAGCAGTTTTGAAACAGTCTTTCTGTGGAATCTGCAAGTGGATATTTGGATAGCTTGGAGGATTTCGTTGGAAACGGGATTATGTATAAAAAGTAGACAGCAGCATCCTCAGAAACTTCTTTGTGATGTATGCATTCAAGTCCCAGAGTTGAACATTCCCTTTCGTACAGCAGTTTTGAAACACTCTTTCTGTAGTATCTGGAAGTGAACATTAGGACAGATTTCAGGTCTATGGTGAGAAAGGAAATATCTTCAAATAAAAACTAGACAGAAGCATTCTCATAAACTTGTTTGTGATGTGTGAACTCAGCTAAAAGAGGTGGATCTTTCTTTTGATAGAGCAGTTCTGAAAAACACTTTTTGTTGAATCTGCAAGTGGACATTTGGATGGATTTGAAGATTTCTTTGGAAACGGGAATATCTTCATATCAAATCTAGACAGAAGCATTCTCAGAAACGTCTTTGTGATGTTTGCATTCAACTCATAGAGTTGAACATTCCCTTTCAGAGAGCAGCTTTGAAGCACTCTTTTTGTAGTATGTGCAAGGGGATATTTGGAGCTCTCTGAGGCCTAAGGTGAAAAAGCAAATATCTTCCCATAACCACTAGACAGAAACATTCTCAGAAACTCCTTTATGACGTATGCACTCACCTAACAGAGAAGAACCTTCCTTTTGACAGAGCAGTTTTGATACACTCTTTTTGGAGAATCTGCAAGTGGATATTTGGATAGCTGTGAAGATTTCGTTGGAAACGGGAATATCTTCCTATAAAATCTAGACAGAAGCATTCTCAGAAACTGCTCTGTGATGTCTGCATTCAAGTCACAGAGTTGAACATTGCCTTTCATAGAGCAGGTTTGAAATGCTCTTTTTGTAGTATATGGAAGTGGATGTTTCGGACGGTTTGAGGCCCATCGTGATAAAGGGAATATCTTCCCCTACAAGCTAGAAAGAAGCATTCTGTGAAACTTGTTTGTGATGTGTGTACTCAACTAACAGAGTTGAACCTTTCTTTTTACAGAGCAGTTTTGAAACACTCTTTTTGTAGAATCTGCGAGGGGATATTTGGATACATTTCAGCATTTCGTTGGAAACGAGAATATCTTCATATAAAATCTCGACAGAAGCATTCTCAGAAACTTCTTTGTGATATGTGCATTCAAGTCACATAGTTGAATATTCCCTTTCACAGAGTAGGTTTGAAACACTCTTTTTGTAGTATCTGGAAGTGGACATTTGGAGCGCCTTGACACCTACGGTGAAAAGGGAAGTATCTTCCCATCAAAACTAGACAGAAGCAATCTCAGAATTTTCTTTGGGATATATGCACACAGCTAACAGAGTTGAACTTTTCTATTGACATAGCAGTTTTGAAACAGTCTTTCTGTGGAATCTGCAAGTGGATATTTGGATAGCTTGGAGGATTTCGTTGGAAACGGGATTACGTATAAAAATTAGACAGCAGCATCCTCAGAAACTTCTTTGTGATGTGTGCATTCAAGTCACAGAGTTGAACATTCCCTTTCGTACAGCAGTTTTGAAACACTCTTTCTGTAGTAACTGGAAGTGAACATTAGGACAGCTTTCAGGTCTATGGAGAGAAAGGAAATATCTTCAAATAAAAACTAGACGGAAGCATTCTCATAAACTTGTTTGTGATGTGTGAACTCTGCTAACAGAGGTGGATCTTTCTTTTGATAGAGCAGTTCTGAAAAACACTTTTTGTTGAATCTGCAAGTGGACATTTGGATAGATTTGAAGATTTCGTTGGAAACGGGAATATCTTCATATCAAATCTAGACAGAAGCATTCTCAGAAACGTCTTTGTGATATTTGCATTCAACTCATAGAGTTGAACATTCCCTTTCAGAGAGCAGCTTTGAAGCACTCTTTTTGTAGTATGTGCAAGTGGATATTTGGATCGCTCTGAGGCCTAAGGTGAAAAAGCAAATATCTTCCCATAACCACTAGACAGAAACATTCTCAGAAACTTCTTTATGACGTATGTACTCAACTAGCAGAGAAGAACTTTCCTTTTGACAGAGCATTTTTGATACACTCTTTTTGTAGTATCTGCAAGTGAATATTTGGATAGCTGTGAAGATTTCGTTGGAAACAGGAATATCTTCATATGAAATCTAGACAGAAGCATTCTCAGAAACTGCTCTGTGATGTCTGCATTCAAGTCACAGAGTTGAACACTGCCTTTCCTAGAGCAGGTTTGAAACGCTCTTTTTGTAGTATATGGAAGTGGACGTTTCGGACGGTTTGAGGCCCATGGTGATAAAGGGAATATCTTCACCTACAAGCTAGAAAGAAGCATTCTGTGAAACTTGTTTGTGATGTGTGTACTCAACTAACAGACTTGAACCTTTCTTTTTACAGAGCAGTTTTGAAACACTCTTTTTGTAGAATCTGCGAGGGGATATTTGGATAGATTTCAGGATTTCGTTGGAAACGGGAATATCTTCATATAAAATCTCGACAGAAGCATTCTCAGAAACTTCTTTGTGATATGTGCATTCAAGTCACAGAGTTGAATATTCCCTTTCACAGAGTAGGTTTGAAACACTCTTTTTGTAGTATCTGGAAGTGGACATTCGGAGCGCCTTGACGCCTACGGTGAAAAGGGAAATATCTTCCCATAAAAACTAGACAGAAGCAATCTCAGAATCTTCTTTGGGATATATGCACGCAGCTAACAGAGTTGAACCTTTCTATTGACAGAGCAGTTTTGAAACATTCTTTCTGTGGAATCTGCAAGTGGATATTTGGATAGCTTGGAGGATTTCGTTGGAAACGGGATTACGTATAAAAAGTAGACAGCAGCATCCTCAGAAACTTCTTTGTGATATGTGCATTCAAGTCACAGAGTTGAACATTCCCTTTCATACAGCAGTTTTGAAACACTCTTTCTGTAGTATCTGGAAGTGAACTTTAAGAGAGCTTTCAGGTATATTGTGAGAAAGGATATATCTTCAAATAAAAGCTAGACAGAAGCATTCTCATAAACTTATTTGTGATGTGTGAACTCAGCTAACAGAGGTGGATCTTTCTTTTGATAGAGCAGTTCTGAAAAACACTTTTTGTTGAATCTGCAAGTGGACATTTGGATAGATTTGAAGATTTCGTTGGAAACGGGAATATCTTCATATCAAATCTAGACAGAAGCATTCTCAGAAACGTCTTTGTGATGTTTGCATTCAACTCATAGAGTTGAACATTCCCTTTCAGAGAGCAGCTTTGAAGCACTCTTTTTGTAGCATGTGCAAGTGGATATTTGGAGCCCTCTGAGGCCTACGGTGAAAAAGCAAATATCTTCCCATAACCACTAGACAGAAACATTCTCAGAAACTCCTTTATGACGTATGCACTCACCTAACAGAGAAGAACCTTCCTTTTGACAGAGCAGTTTTGATACACTCTTTTTGTAGAATCTGCAAGTGGATATTTGGATAGCTGTGAAGATTTCGTTGGAAACCGGAATATCTTCCTATAAAATCTAGACAGAAGGATTCTCAGAAACTGCTCTGTGATGTCTGCATTCAAGTCACAGAGTTGAAAATTGCCTTTCATAGAGCATGTTTGAAAGGCTCTTTTTGTAGTATATGGAAGTGGACGTTTCGGACGGTTTGAGGCCCATGGTGATAAAGGGAATATCTTCCCCTACAAGCTAGAAAGAAGCATTCTGTGAAACTTGTTTGTGATGTGTGTACTCAACTAACAGAGTTGAACCTTTCTTTTCACAGAGCAGTTTTGAAACACTCTTTTTGTAGAATCTACGAGGGGATATTTGGATAGATTTCAGCATTTCGTTGGAAACGGGAATATCTTCATATAAAATCTCGACAGAAGCATTCTCAGAAACTTCTTTGTGATATGTGCATTCAAGTCACAGAGTTGAATATTCCCTTTCACAGAGTAGGTTTGAAACACTCTTTTTGTAGTATCTGTAAGTGGACATTTGGAGCGCCTTGACACCTACGGTGAAAAGGGAAATATCTTCCCATAAAAACTAGACAGAAGCAATCTCAGAATCTTCTTTGGGATATATGCACGCAGCTAACAGAGTTGAACCTTTCTATTGACAGAGCAGTTTTGAAACAGTCTTTCTGTGGAATCTGCAAGTGCATATTTGGATAGCTTGGAGGATTTCGTTGGAAACGGGATTACGTATAAAAAGTAGACAGCAGCCTCCTCAGAAACTTCTTTGTGATGTGTGCATTCAAGTCACAGAGTTGAACATTCCCTTTCGTACAGCAGTTTTGAAACACTCTTTCTGTAGTATCTGGAAGTGAACATTAGGACAGCTTTCAGGTCTATGGTGAGAAAGGCAATATCTTCAAATAAAAACTAGACAGAAGCATTCTCATAAAATAGTTTGTGATATGTGAACTCAGCTAACAGACGTGGATCTTTCTTTTGATACAGCAGTTTTGAAAAACACTTTTTGTTGAATCTGCAAGTGGACATTTGGATAGATTTGAAGATTTCATTGGAAACGGGAATATCTTCATATCAAATCTAGATAGAAAGCATTCTCAGAAACGTCTTTGTGATGTTTGCATTCAACTCATAGAGTTGAACATTCCCTTTCAGAGAGCAGCTTTGAAGCACTCTTTTTGTAGTATGTGCAAGTGGATATTTGGAGCGCTCTGAGGCCTACGGTGAAAAAGCAAATATCTTCCCATAACCACTAGGCAGAACTTTCTCAGAAACTCCTTTATGACGTATGTACTCACCTAACAGAGAAGAACCTTCCTTTTGACAGAGCAGTTTTGATACACTCTTTTTGTAGAATCTGCAAGTGGATATTTGGATACCTGTGAAGATTTCGTTGGAAACGGGAATATCTTCCTATAAAATCTAGACAGAAGCATTCTCAGAAACTGCTCTGTGATGTCTGCATTCAAGTCACAGAGTTGAACATTGCCTTTCATAGAGCAGGTTTGAAACACTCTTTTTGTAGTATATGGAAGTGGACGTTTCGGACGGTTTGAGGCCCATGGTGATGAAGGGAATATCTTCCCCTACAAGCTAGAAAGAAGCATTCTGTGAAACTTGTTTGTGATGTGTGTACTCAACTAACAGAGTTGAACCTTTCTTTTTACAGAGCAGTTTTGAAACACTCTTTTTGTAGAATCTGCGAGGGGATATTTGGATAGATTTCAGGATTTCGTAGGAAACGGGAATATCTTCATAGAAAATCTCGACAGAAGCATTCTCAGAAAGTACTTTGTGATATCTGCATTCAAGTCACAGAGTTGAATATTCCCTTTCACAGAGTAGGTTTGAAACACTCTTTTTGTAGTATCTGGAAGTGGTCATTTGGAGCGCCTTGACGTCTACGGTGAAAAGGGAAATATCTTCCCATAAAAACTAGACAGCAGCAATCTGAGAATCTTCTTTGGGATACATGCACGCAGCTAACAGAGTTGAACCTTTCTATTGACAGAGCAGTTTTGAAAAAGTCTTTCTGTGGAATCTGCAAGTGGATATTTGGATAGATTGGAGGATTTCGTTGGAAACGGGATTACGTATAAAAAGTAGACAGCAGCATCCTCAGAAACTTCTTTGTGATGTGTGCATTCAAGTCACAGGGTTGAACATTCCCTTTCGTACAGCAGTTTTGAAACACTCTTTCTGTAGTATCTGGAAGTGAACATTAGGACAGCTTTCAGGTCTATGGTGAGAAAGGAAATATCTTCAAATAAAAACTAGACAGAAGCATTCTCATAAACTTGTTTGTGATGTGTGAACTCAGCTAACAGAGGTGGATCTTTCTTTTGATAGAGCAGTTCTGAAAAACACTTTTTGTTGAATCTGCAAGTGGACATTTGGATAGATTTGAAGATTTCGTAGGAAACGGGAATATCTTCATATCAAATCTAGACAGAAGCATTCTCAGAAACGTCTTTGCGATGTTTGCATTCAACTCATAGAGTTGAACATTCCGTTTCAGAGAGCAGCTTTGAGGCACTCTTTTTGTAGTATGTGCAAGTGGATATTTGGAGCGCTCTGAGGCCTTCGGTGAAAAAGCAAATATCTTCCCATAACCACTAGACGGAAACATTCTCAGAAACTCCTTTATGACGTATGCACTCACCTAACAGAGAAGAACCTTCCTTTTGACAGAGCAGTTTTGATACACTCTTTTTGTAGAATCTGCAAGTGGATCTTTGGATAGCTGTGAAGATTTCGTTGGAAACGGGAATATCTTCCTATAAAATCTAGACAGAAGCATTCTCAGAAACTGCTCTGTTCTGTCTGCATTCAAGTCACAGAGTTGAACATTGCCTTTCATAGAGCAGGTTTGAAACGCTCTTTTTGTAGTATATGGAAGTGGACGTTTCGGACGGTTTGAGGCCCATGGTGATAAAGGGAATATCTTCCCCTACAAGCTAGAAAGAAGCATTCTGTGAAACTTGTTTGTGATGTGTGTACTCAACTAACAGAGTTGAACCTTTCTTTTTACAGAGCAGTTTTGAAACACTCTTTTTGTAGAATCTGCAAGGGGATATTTGAATAGATTTCAGGATTTCGTTGGAAAGGGGAATATCTTCATATAAAATCTCGACAGAAGCGTTCTCAGAAACTTCTTTGTGATATGTGCATTCAAGTCAAAGAGTTGAATATTCGTTTTAACAGAGTCGGTTTGAAACACTCTTTTTGTAGTATCTGGAAGTGGACATTTGGAGCGCCTTGACGCCTACGGTGAAAAGGGAAATATCTTCCAATAAAAACTAGACAGAAGCAATCTCAGAATCTTCTTTGGGATATATGCACGCAGCTAACAGAGTTGAACCTTTCTATTGACAGAGCAGTTTTGAAACAGTCTTTCTGTGGAATCTGCAAGTGGACATTTGGATAGCTTGGAGAATTTCGTTGGAAACGGGATTACGTATAAAAAGTAGACAGCAGCATCCTCAGAAACTTCTTTGTGATGTGTGCATTCAAGTCACAGAGTTGAACATTCCCTTTCGTACAGCAGTTTTGAAACACTCTTTCTGTAGTATCTGGAAGTGAACATTAAGACAGCATTCAGGTCTATGGTGAGAAAGGAAATATCTTCAAATAAAAACTAGACAGAAGCATTCTCAAGAACTTGTTTGTGATGTGTGAACTCAGCTAACAGAGGTGGATGTTTCTTTTGATAGAGCAGTTCTGAAAAACACGTTTTGTTGAATCTGCAAGTGGACATTTGGATAGATATGAAGATTTCGTTGGAAACGGGAATATCTTCATATCAAATCTAGACAGAAGCATTCTCGGAAACGTCTTTGTCACGTTTGCATTCAACTCATAGAGTTGAACATTCCGTTTCAGAGAGCAGCTTTGAAGCACTCTTTTTGTAGTATGTGCAAGGGGATATTTTGAGCGCTGTGAGGCCTACGGTGAAAAAGCAAATATCTTCCCATAACCACTAGACAGAAACATTCTCAGAAACTCCTTTATGACGTATGCACTCACCTAACAGAAAAGAACCTTCCTTCTGACAGAGCAGTTTTGATACACTCTTTTTGTAGAATCTGCAAGTGGATATTTGGATAGCTGTGAAGATTTCGTTGGAAACGGGAATATCTTCCTATAAAATCTAGACAGAAGCATTCTCTGAAACTGCTCTGGGATGTCTGCATTCAAGTCACGGAGTTGAACATTGCCTTTCCTAGAGCAGGTTTGAAACGCTCTTTTTGTAGTATATGGAAGTGGACGTTTCGGACTGTTTGAGGCCCATGGTGATAAAGGGAATATCTTCCCCTACAAGCTAGAAAGAAGCATTGTGTGAAACTTGTTTGTGATGTGTGTACTCAACTAACAGAGTTGAACCTTTCTTTTTACAGAGCAGTTTTGAAACACTCTTTTTGTAGAATCTGCAAGGGGATATTTGGATAGATTTCAGGATTTCATTGGAAACGGGAATATCTTCATATAAAATCTCGACAGAAGCATTCTCAGAAACTTCTTTGTGATATCTGCATTCAAGTCACAGAGTTGAATATTCCCTTTCACAGAGTAGGTTTCAAACACTCTTTTTATAGTATCTGGAAGTGGACATTTGGAGCGCCGTGACGCCTACGGTGAAAAGGGAAATATCTTCCCATAAAAACTAGACAGAAGCAATCTCAGAATCTTCTTTGGGATATATGCACGCAGCTAACAGAGTTGTACCTTTCTATTGACAGAGCACTTTTGAAACAGTCTTTCTGTGGAATCTGCAAGTGGATATTTGGATAGCTTGGAGGATTTCATTGGAAACGGGATTACATATAAAAAGTAGACAGCAGCATCCTCAGAAACTTCTTTGTGATGTGTGCATTCAAGTCACAGAGTTGAACATTCCCTTTCATACAGCAGTTTTGAAACACTCTTTCTGTAGTAACTGGAAGTGAACATTAGGACAGCTTTCAGGTCTATGGTGAGAAAGGAAATATCTTCAAATAAAAACTAGACAGAAGCATTCTCATAAACTTGTTCGTGATGTGTGAACTCAGCTAACACACGTGGATCTTTCTTTTGATAGAGCAGTTCTGAAAAACAGTTTTTGTTGAATCTGCAAGAGGACATTTGGATAGATTTGAAGATTTCGTTGGAAACGGGAATATCTTCATATCAAATCTAGACAGAAGCATTCCCAGAAACGTCTTTGTGATGTTTGCATTCAACTCATAGAGTTGAACATTCCGTTTCAGAGAGCATCTTTGAAGCACTCTTTTTGTAGTATGTGCAAGTGGATATTTGGAGCGCTCTGAGGCCTACGGGGAAAAAGCAAATATCTTCCCATAACCACTAGACTGAAACATTCCCAGAAACTCCTTTATGACGTATGCACTCACCTAACAGAAAAGAACCTTCCTTTTGACAGAGCAGTTTTGATACACTCTTTTTGTAGAATCTGCAAGTGGATATTTGGATAGCTGTGAAGATTTCGTTGGAAACGGGAATATCTTCCTATAAAATCTAGACAGAAGCATTCTCAGAAACTGCTCTGTGATGTCTGCATTCAAGTCACAGAGTTGAACGTTGCCTTTCATAGAGCAGGTTTGAAACGCTCTTTTTGTAGTATATGGAAGTGGACTTATCGGACGGTTTGAGGCCCATGGTGATAAAGGGAATATCTTCCCCTACAAGCTAGAAAGAAGCATTGTGTGAAACTTATTTGTGATGTGTGTACTCAACTAACAGAGTTGAACCTTTCTTTTTACAGAGCAGTTTTGAAACACTCTTTTTGTAGAATCTGCGAGGGGATATTTGGATAGATTTCAGCATTTCGTTGGAAACGGGAATATCTTCATATAAAATCTCGACAGAAGCATTCTCAGAAACTTCTTTATGATATCTGCATTCAAGTCACAGAGTTGAATATTCCCTTTCACAGAGTAGGTTTGAAACACTCTTTTTGTAGTATCTGGAAGTGGACATTTGGAGCGCCTTGACCCCTACGGAGAAAAGGGAAATATCTTCCCATAAAAACTAGACAGAAGCAATCTCAGAATCTTCTTTGGGATATATGCACGCAGCTAACAGAGTTGAACCTTTCTATTGACAGAGCAGTTTTGAAACAGCCTTTCTGTGGAATCTGCAAGTGGATATTTGGATAGCTTGGAGGATTTCGTTGGAAACGGGATTACGTATAAAAAGTAGACAGCAGCATCCTCAGAAACTCCTTTGTGATGTGTGCATTCAAGTCACATAGTTGAACATTCCCTTTCGTACAGCAGTTTTGAAACACTCTTTCTGTAGTATCTGGAAGTGAACATTAGGACAGCTTTCAGCTCTATGGTGAGAAAGGAAATATCTTCAAATAAAAACTAGACAGAAGCATTCTCATAAACTTGTTTGTGATGTGTGAACTCGGCTAACACAGGTGGATCTTTCTTTTGATTGAGCAGTTCTGAAAAACACGTTTTGTTGAATCTGCAAGTGGACATTTGGATAGATTTGAAGATTTCGTTGGAAACGGGAATATCTTCATATCAAATCTAGAGAGAAGCATTCTCAGAAACGTCTTTGTGATGTTTGCATTCAACTCATAGAGTTGAACATTCCCTTTCAGAGAGCAGCTCTGAAGCACTCTTTTTGTAGTATGTGCAAGGGGATATTTGGAGCGCTCTGAGGCCTACGGTGAAAAAGCAAATATCTTCCCATAACGACTAGACAGAAACATTCTCAGAAACTCCTTTACGACGTATGCACTCACCTAACAGAGAAGAACCTTCCTTTTGACAGAGCAGTTTTGATACACTCTTTTTGTAGAATCTGCAAGTGGATATTTGGATAGCTCTGAAGATTTCGTTGGAAACGGGAATATCTTCCTATAAAATCTAGACAGAAGCATTCTCAGAAACTGCTCTGTGATGTCTGCATTCAAGTCACAGAGTTGAACATTACCTTTCATAGAGCAGGTTTGAAACGCTCTTTTTGTAGTATATGGAAGTGGACGTTTCGGACGGTTTGAGGCCCATGGTGATAAAGGGAATATCTTCCCCTACAAGCTAGAAAGAAGCATTCTGTGAAACTTGTTTGTGATGTGTGTACTCAACTAACAGAGTTGAACCTTTCTTTTTACAGAGCAGTTTTGAAACACTCTTTTTGTAGAATCTGCGAGGTGATATTTGGATAGATTTCAGGATTTCGTTGTAAACGGGAATATCTTCATATAAAATCTCGACAGAAGCATTCTCAGAAACTTCTTTGTGATATGTGCATTCAAGTCACAGAGTTGAATATTCCCTTTCACAGAGTAGGTTTGAAACACTCTTTTTGTAGTATCTGGAAGTGGACATTTGGAGCGCCTTGACACCTACGGTGAAAAGGGAAATATCTTCCCACAAAAACTAGACAGAAGCATCCTCAGAAACATCCTTGTGATGTGTGCATTCAAGTCACAGAGTTGAACATTACCTTTCGTACAGCAGTTTTGAAACACTCTTTCTGTAGTATCTGGAAGTGAACTTTAGGACAGCTTTCAGGTCTATAGTGAGAAAGGATATATCTTCAAATAAAAACTAGACAGAAGCATTCTCATAAACTTCTTTGTGATGTGTGAACTCACCTAACAGAGGTGGATCTTTCTTTTGATAGAGCAGTTCTGAAAAACACTTTTTGTTGAATCTGCAAGTGGACATTTGGATAGATATGAAGATTTCGTTGGAAACGGGAATATCTTCATATCAAATCTAGACAGAAGCATTCTCAGAAACGTCTTTGTGATGTTTGCATTCAACTCATAGAGTTGAACATTCCCTTTCAGAGAGCAGCTTTGAAGCACTCTTTTTGTAGTATGTGCAAGTGGACATTTGGAGCGCTCTGAGGCCTAAGGTGAAAAAGCAAATATCTTCCCATAACCACTAGACAGAAACATTCTCAGAAACTTCTTTATGACGTATGTACTCAACTAGCAGAGAAGAACTTTCCTTTTGACAGAGCTTTTTTGATACACTCTTTTGTAGTATCTGCAAGTGGATATTTGGATAGCTGTAAAGATTTCGTTGGAATCGGGAATATCTTCCTATAAAGTCAGGACAGAAGCATTCTCAGAAACTGCTCTGTGATGTCTGCATTCAAGTCACAGAGTTGAACATTGCCTTTCATAGAGCAGGTTTCAAACACTCTTTTGTTAGTATATGGAAGTGGACGTTTCGGACGGTTTGAGGCCCATGGTGATAAAGGAAATTTCTTCCCCTACAAGCTAGAAAGAAGCATTCTGTGAAACTTGTTTGTGATGTGTGTACTCCACTAACAGAGTTGAACCTTTCTTTTTACAGAGCAGTTTTGAAACACTCTTTTTGTAGAATCTGCGAGGGGATATTTGGATAGATTTCAGGATTTCGTTGGAAACGGGAATATCTTCATATAAAATCTCGACAGAAGCATTCTCAGAAACTTCTTTGTGATATCTACATTCAAGTCACAGGGTTGAATATTCCCTTTCACAGAGTAGGTTTGAAACACTCTTTTTGTAGTATCTGGAATTGGACATTTGGAGCACCTTGACACCTACGGTGAAAAGGGAAATATCTTCCCATAAAAACTAGACAGAAGCAATCTCAGAATCTTCTTTGGGATATATGCACGCAGCTAACAGAGTTGAACCTTTCTATTGACAGCAGTTTTGAAACAGTCTTTCTGTGGAATCTGCAAGTGGATATTTGGATAGCTTGGAGGATTTCGTTGGAAACAGGATTACGTATAAAAAGTAGACAGCAGCATCCTCAGAAACTTCTTTGGGATGTGTGCATTCAAGTCACAGAGTTGAACATTCCCTTTCGTACAGCAGTTTTGAAACACTCTTTATGTAGTATCTGGAAGTGAACATTAGGACAGCTTTCAGGTCTATGGTGAGAAAGGAAATATCTTCAAATAAAAACTAGACAGAAGCATTCTCATAAACTTGTTTGTGATGTGTGAACTCAGCTAACAGAGGTGGATCTTTCTTTTGATAGAGCAGTTCTGAAAAACACTTTTTGTTGAATCTGCAAGTGGCCATTTGGATAGATTTGAAGATTTCGTTGGAAACGGGAATATCTTCATATCAAATCTAGACAGAAGCATTCTCAGAAACGACTTTGTGATGTTAGCATTCAACTCATAGAGTTGAACATTCCCTTTCAGAGAGCAGCTTTGAAGCACTCTTTTTGTAGTATGTGCAAGTGGACATTTGGAGCGCTTTGAGGCCTACAGGGAAAAAGCAAATATCTTCCCATAACCACTAGACAGGAACATTCTCAGATTACTCCTTTATGACGTATGTACTCAACTAACAGAGAAGAACCTTCCTTTTGACAGAGCAGTTTTGATACACTCTTTTTGTAGAATCTGCAAGTGGATATTTGGATAGCTGTGAAGATTTCTTTGGAAACGGGAATATCTTCCTATAAAATCTAGACAGAAGCATTCTCAGAAACTGCTCTGTGATGTCTGCATTCAAGTCACAGAGTTGAACATTGCCTTTCATAGAGCAGGTTTGAAACGCTCTTTTTGTAGTATATGGAAGTAGACGTTTCGGACGGTTTGAGGCCCATGGTGATAAAGGGAATATCTTGCCCTACAAGCTAGAAAGAAGCATTCTGTGAAACTTGTTTGTGATGTGTGTACTCAACTAACAGAGTTGAACCTTTCTTTTTACAGAGCAGTTTTGAAACACTGTTTTTGTAGAATCTGCGAGGGGATATTTGGAGAGACTTCAGGATTTCGTTGGAAACGGGAATATCTTCATATAAAATCTCGACAGAAGCATTCTCAGAAACTTCCTTGTGATATGTGCATTCAAGTCACAGAGTTGAATATTCCCTTTCACAGAGTAGGTTTGAAACACTCTTTTTGTAGTATCTGGAAGTGGACATTTGGAGCGCCTGGACGCCTACGGTGAAAAGGCAAATATCTTCCCATAAAAACTAGACAGAAGCATTCTGTGAAACTTGTTTGTGATGTGTGTACTCAAGTAACAGAGTTGAACCTTTCTATTGACAGAACAGTTTTGAAACAGTCTTTCTGTGGAATCTGCAAGTGGATATTTGGATAGCTTGGAGGATTTCGTTGGAAACGGGATTACGTATAAAAAGTAGACAGCAGCATCCTCAGAAACTTCCTTGTGATGTGTGCATTCAAGTCACAGAGTTGAACATTCCCTTTCGTACAGCAGTTTTGAAACACTCTTTCTGTAGTATCTGGAAGTGAACATTAGGACAGCTTTCAGGTCTATGGTGAGAAAGGAAATACCTTCAAATAAAAACTAGACAGAAGCATTCTCATAAACTTGTTTGTGATGTGTGAACTCAGCTAACAGACGTGGATCTTTCTTTTGATACAGCAGTTTTGAAAAACACTTTTTGTTGAATCTGCAAGTAGACATTTGGATAGATTTGAAGATTTCGTTGGAAACGGGAATATCTTCATATCAAATCTAGACAGAAGCATTCTCAGAAACGTCTTTGTGATGTTTGCATTCAACTCATAGAGTTGAACATTCCCTTTCAGAGAGCAGCTTTGAAGCACTCTTTTTGAAGCATGTGCAAGTGGACATTTGGAGCGCCCTGAGGCCTACGGGGAAAAAGCAAATATCTTCCCATAACCACTAGATAGAAACATTCTCAGAAACTGCTTTATGACGTATGCACTCACCTAACAGAGAAGAACCTTCCTTTTGACAGAGCAGTTTTGATACACTCTTTTTGTAGAATCTGCAAGTGGATATTTGGATAGCTGTGAAGATTTCTTTGGAAACGGGAATATCTTCCTATAAAATCTAGACAGAAGCATTCTCAGAAACTGCTCTGTGATGTCTGCATTCAAGTCACAGAGTTGAACATTGCCTTTCATAGAGCAGGTTTGAAACGCTCTTTTTGTAGTATATGGAAGTGGACTTATCGGACGGTTGGAGGCCCATGGTGCTAAAGGGAATATCTTCCCCTACAAGCTAGAAAGAAGCATTCTGTGAAACTTGTTTGTGATGTGTGTACTCAACTAACAGAGTTGAACCTTCCTTTTTACAGAGCAGTTTTGAAACACTCTTTTTGTAGAATCTGCGAGGGGATATTTGGATAGATTTCAGGATTTCGTTGGAAACGGGAATATCTTCATATAAAATCTCGACAGAAGCATTCTCAGAAACTTCTTTGTGATATGTGCATTCAAGTCACAGAGTTGAATATTCCCTTTCACAGAGTAGGTTTGAAACACACTTTTTGTAGTATCTGGAAGTGGACATTTGGAGCGCCTTTACACCTACGGTGAAAAGGGAAATATCTTCTCATAAAAAGTAGACAGAAGCAATCTCAGAATCTTCTTTGGGATATATGCACGCAGCTAACAGAGTTGAACCTTTCTATTGACAGAGCAGTTTTGAAACAGTCTTTCTGTGGAATCTGCAAGTGGATACTTGGATAGCTTGGAGGATTTCGTTGGAAACGGGATTACGTATAAAAAGTAGACAGCAGCATCCTCAGAAACATCCTTGTGATGTGTGCATTCAAGTCACAGAGTTGAACATTCCCTTTCGTACAGCAGTTTTGAAACACTCTTTCTGTAGTATCTGGAAGTGAATTTTAGGACAGCTTTCAGGTCTATAGTGAGAAAGGATATATCTTCAAATAAAAACTAGACGGAAGCATTCTGATAAACTTGTTTGTGAAGTGTGATCTCAGCTAACAGAGGTGGATCTTTCTTTTGATAGAGCAGTTCTGAAAAACACTTTGTTGAATCTGGAAGTGGACATTTGGATAGATTTGAAGATTTCGTTGGAAACGGGAATATCTTCATATCAAATCTAGACAGAAGCATTCTCAGAAACGTCTTTGTCATGTTTGCATTCAACTCATAGAGTTGAACATTCCCATTCAGAGAGCAGCTTTGAAACACTCTTTTTGTAGTATGTGCAAGTGGATATTTGGAGCGCTCTGAGGCCTACGGTGAAAAAGCAAATATCTTCCCATAACCACTAGACAGAAACATTCTCAGAAACTCCTTTATGACGTATGCACTCACCTAACAGAGAAGAACCTTCCATTTGACAGAGCAGTTTTGATACACTCTTTTTGTAGAATCTGCAAGTGGATATTTGGATAGCTGTGAAGATTTCGCTGGAAACGGGAATATCTTCCTGTAAAATCTAGACAGAAGCATTCTCAGAAACTGCTCTGTGATGTCTGCATACAAGTCACAGAGTTGAACATTGCCTTTCATAGAGCAGGTTTGAAACGCTCTTTTTGTAGTATATGTAAGTAGACGTTTCGGACGGTTTGAGGCCCATGGTGATAAAGGGAATATCTTCCCCTACAAGCTAGAAAGAAGCATTGTGTGAAACTTGTTTGTGATGTGTGTACTCAACTAACAGAGTTGAACGTTTGTTTTTACAGAGCAGTTTTGAAACACTCTTTTTGTAGAATCTGCGAGGGGATATTTGGATACATTTCAGGATTTCGTTGGAAACGGGAATATCTTCATATAAAATCTCGACAGAAGCATTCTCAGAAACTTCTTTGTGATATCTGCCTTTAAGTCACAGAGTTGAATATCCCCTTTCACAGAGTAGGTTTGAAACACTCTTTTTGTAGTATCTGGAAGTGGACATTTGGAGCGCCTTGACACCTACGGTGAAAAGGGAAATATCTTCCCATAAAAACTAGACAGAAGCAATCTCAGAATCTTCTTTGTGATATATGCACGCAGCTAACAGAGTTGAACATTTCTATTGACAGAGCAGCTTTGAAACACTCTTTTGTGGAATCTGCAAGTGGATATTTGGATAGCTTGGAGGATTTCGTTGGAAACGGGATTACGTATAAAAATTAGACAGCAGCATCCTCAGAAACTTCCTTGTGATGTGTGCATTCAAGTCACAGAGTTGAACATTACCTTTCGTACAGCATTTTTGAAACACTCTTTCTGTAGTATCTGGAAGTGAACTTTATGAGAGCTTTCAGGTCTATAGTGAGAAAGGATATATCTTCAAATAAAAACTAGACAGAAGAGTTCTGATAAACTTGTTTGCGAAGTGTGAACTCAGGTAACAGAGGTGGATCTTTCTTTTGATACAGCAGTTTTGAGAAACACTTTGTTGAATCTGCAAGTGGACATTTGGATAGATTTGAAGATTTCGTTGGAAACGGGTATATCTTCATATCAAATCTAGACAGAAGCATTCTCAGAAACGTCTTTGTGATGTTTGCATTCAACTCATAGAGTTGAACATTCCCTTTCAGAGAGCAGCTTTGAAGCACTCTTTTTGTAGTATGTGCAAGTTGATATTTGGAGCGCTCTGAGGCCTAAGGTGAAAAAGCAAATATCTTCCCATAACCACTAGACAGAAACATTCTCAGAAACTCCTTTATGACGTATGCACTCACCTAACAGAGAAGAACCTTCCTTTTGACTGAGCAGGTTTGATACACTCTTTTTGTAGAATCTGCAAGTGGATATTTGGATAGCTGTGAAGATTTCGTTGGAAACGGGAATATCTTCCTATAAAATCTAGACAGAAGCATTCTCAGAAACTGCTCTGTGATGTCTGCATTCAAGTCACAGAGTTGAACATTGCCTTTCATAGAGCAGGTTTGAAATGCTCTTTTTGTAGTATATGGAAGTGGATGTTTCGGACGGTTGGAGGCCCATGGTGATAAAGGGAATATCTTCCCCTACAAGCTAGAAAGAAGCATTGTGTGAAACTTGTTTGTGATGTGTGTACTCAACTAACAGAGTTGAACCTTTCTTTTTACAGAGCAGTTTTGAAACACTCTTTTTGTAGAATCTGCGAGGGGATATTTGGATAGATTTCAAGATTTCGTTGGAAACGGGAATATCTTCATATAAAATCTCGACAGATGCATTCTGAGAAACTTCTTTGTGATATGTGCATTCTAGTCACAGAGTTGAATATTCCCTTTCACAGAGTAGGTTTGAAACACTCTTTTTGTAGTATCTGGAAGTGGACATTTGGAGCGCCTTGACGCCTACGGTGAAAAGGGAAATATCTTCCCATAAAAACTAGACAGAAGCAATCTCAGAATCGTCGTTGGGATATATGCACGCAGCTAACAGAGTTGAACCTTTCTATAGACAGAGCAGTTTTGAAACAGTCTTTCTGTGGGATCTGCAAGTGGATATTTGGATAGCTTGGAGGATTTCGTTAAAAACGGGATTACGTATAAAAAGTAGACAGCAGCATCCTCAGAAACTTCTTTGTGATGTGTGCATTCAAGTCACAGAGTTGAACATTCCCTTTCGTACAGCAGTTTTGAAACACTCTTTCTGTAGTATCTGGAAGTGAACATTAGGACAGCTTTCAGCTCTATGGTGAGAAAGGAAATATCTTCAAACAAAAACTAGACAGAAGCATTCTCATAAACTTGTTTGTTATGTGTGAACTCAGCTAACAGAGGTGGATCTTTCTTTTGATAGAGCAGTTCTGAAAAACACGTTTTGTTGAATCTGCAAGTGGACATTTGGATAGATTTGAAGATGTCGTTGGAAACGGGAATATCTTCATATCAAATCTAGACAGAAGCATTCTCAGAAACGTCTTTGTGATGTTTCCATTCAACTCATAGAGTTGAACATTCCCTTTCAGAGAGCAGCTTTGAAGCACTCTTTTTGTAGTATGTGCAAGTGGATATTTGGAGCGCTCTGAGGCCTACGGTGAAAAAGCAAATATCTTCCCATAACCAGTAGACAGAAACATTCTCAGAAACTCCTTTATGACGTATGTACTCAACTAACAGAGAAAAACCTTCCTTTTGACAGAGCAGTTTTGATACACTCTTTTTGTAGAATCTGCAAGTGGATATTTGGATAGCTGTGAAGATTTCGTTGGAAACGGGAATATCTTCCTATAAAATCTAGACAGAAGCATTCTCAGAAACTGCTCTGTGATGTCTGCATTCAAGTCACAGAGTTGAACATTGCCTTTCATAGAGGAGGTTTCAAACACTCTTTTTGTAGTATATGGAAGTGGACGTTTCAGACGGTTTGAGGCCCATGGTGATAAAGGGAATATCTTCCCCTACAAGCTAGAAAGAAGCATTCTGTGAAACTTGTTTGTGATGTGTGTACTCAACTAACAGAGTTGAACCTTTCTTTTTACAGAGCAGTTTTGAAACACTCTTTTTGTAGAATCTGCGAGGGTATATTTGGATACATTTCAGGATTTCGTTGGAAACGGGAATATCTTCATATAAAATCTCGACAGAAGCATTCTCAGAAACTTCTTTGTGATATGTGCATTCAAGTCACAGAGTTGAATATTCCCTTTCACAGAGTAGGTTTGAAACACTCTTTTTGTAGTATCTGGAAGTGGATATTTGGAGCGCCTTGACGCCTACGGTGAAAAGGGAAATATCTTCCCATAAAAACTAGACAGAAGCAATCTCAGAATCTTCTTTGGGATATATGCACGCAGTTAACAGAGTTGAACCTTTCTATTGACAGAGCAGTTTTGAAACAGTCTTTCTGTGGAATCTGCAAGTGGATATTTGGATAGCTTGGAGGATTTCGTTGGAAACGGGATTACCGTATAGAAAGTAGACAGCAGCATCGTCAGAAACTTCTTTGTGATGTGTGCATTCAAGTCACAGAGTTGAACATTCCCTTTCGTACAGCAGTTTTGAAACACTCTTTCTGTAGTATCTGGAAGTGAACATTAGGACAGCTTTCAGCTCTATGGTGAGAAAGGAAATATCTTCAAATAAAAACTAGACAGAAGCATTCTCATAAACTTGTTTGTGATGTGTGAAATCAGCTAACAGACGTGGATCTTTCTTTTGATATAGCAGTTTTGAAAAACACTTTTTGTTGAATCTGCAAGTGGACATTTGGATAGATTTGAAGATTTCGTTGGAAACGGGAATATCTTCATATCAAATCTAGACAGAAGCATTCTCGGAAACGTCTTTGTGATGTTTGCATTCAACTCATAGAGTTGAACATTCCGTTTCAGAGAGCAGCTTTGAAGCACTCTTTTTGTAGTATGTGCAAGGGGATATTTGGAGCGCTCTGAGTCCTAAGGTGAAAAAGCAAATATCTTCCCATAACCAATAGACAGAAACATTCTCAGAAACCCCTTTATGACGTATGTACTCAAATAACAGAGAAGGACCGTCCTTTTGACAGAGCAGTTTTGATACACTCTTTTTGTAGAATCTGCAAGAGGATATTTGGATAGCTGTGAAGATTTCGTTGGAAACGGGAATACCTTCCTATAAAATCTAGACAGAAGCATTCTCAGAAACTGCTCTGTGATGTCTGCATTCAAGTCACAGAGTTGAACATTGCCTTTCCTAGAGCAGGTTTGAAACGCTCTTTTTGTAGTATATGGAAGTGGATGTTTCGGACGGTTGGAGGCCCATGGTGATAAAGGGAAAATCTTCCCCTACAAGCTAGAAAGAAGCATTCTGTGAAACTTGTTTGTGATGTGTGTACTCAACTAACACAGTTGAACCTTTCTTTTTACAGAGCAGTTTTGAAACACTCTTTTTGTAGAATCTGCGAGGGGATATTTGGATAGATTTCAGGATTTCGTTGGAAACGGGAATATCTTCATATAAAATCTCGACAGAAGCATTCTCAGAAACTTCTTTGTGATATCTGCATTCAAGTCACAGAGTTGAATATTCCCTTTCACAGAGTAGGTTTGAAACACTCTTTTTGTAGTATCTGGAAGTGGACATTTGGAGCGCCGTGACACCTACGGTGAAAAGGGAAATATCTTCCCATAAAAACTAGACAGAAGCAATCTCAGAATCTTCTTTGGGATATATGCACGCAGCTAACAGAGTTGAACCTTTCTATTGACAGAGCAGTTTAGAAACAGTCTTTCTGTGGAATCTGCAAGTGGATATTTGGATAGCTTGGAGGATTTCGTTGGAAACGGGATTACGTATAAAAAGTAGACAGCAGCATCCTCAGAAACTTCTTTGTGATGTGTGCATTCAAGTCACAGAGTTGAACATTCCCTTTCGTACAGCAGTTTTGAAACACTCTTTCTGTAGTATCTGGAAGTGAACATTAGGACAGCTTTCAGGTCTATGGGGAGAAAGGAAATATCTTCAAATAAAAACTAGACAGAAGCATTCTCATAAACTTCTTTGTGATGTGTGAACTCAGCTAACAGAGGTGGATCTTTCTTTTGATAGAGCAGTTCTGAATAACACTTTTTGTTGAATCTGCAAGTGGACATTTGGATAGATTTGAAGATTTCGTTGGAAACGGGAATATCTTCATATCAAATCTAGACAGAAGCATTCTCAGAAACGTCTTTGTGATGTTTGCATTCAACTCATAGAGTTGAACATTCCGTTTCAGAGAGCAGCTTTGAGGCACTCTTTTTCTAGTATGTGCAAGTGGATATTTGGAGCGCTCTGAGGCCTACGGTGAAAAAGCAAATATCTTCCCATAACCACTAGACCGAAACATTCTCAGAAACTCCTTTATGACGTATGCACTCACCTAACAGAGAAGAACCTTCCTTTTGACAGAGCAGTTTTGATACACTCTTTTTGTAGAATCTGCAAGTGGATACTTGGATAGCTGTGAAGATTTCGTTGGAAACGGGAATATCTTCCTATAAAATCTAGACAGAAGCATTCTCAGAAACTGCTATGTGATGTCTGCATTCAAGTCACAGAGTTGAACATTGCCTTTCCTAGAGCAGGTTTGAAACACTCTTTTTGTAGTATATGGAAGTGGACGTTTCGGACGGTTTGAGGCCCATGGTGATAAAGGGAATATCTTCCCCTACAAGCTAGAAAGAAGCATTCTGTGAAACTTGTTTGTGATGTGTGTACTCAACTAACAGAGTTGAACCTTTCTTTTTACAGAGCAGTTTTGAAACACTCTTTTTGTAGAATCTGCGAGGGGATATTTGTATAGATTTCAGGATTTCGTTGGAAACGGGAATATCTTCATATAAAATCTCGACAGAAGCATTCTCAGAAACTTCTTTGTGATATGTGCATTCAAGTCACAGAGTTGAATATTCCCTTTCACAGAGTAGGTTTGAAACACTCTTTTTGTAGTATCTGGAAGTGGACATTTGGGGCGCCTTGACGCCTATGGTGAAAAGGGAAATATCTTCCCATAAAAACTAGACAGAAGCAATCTCAGAATCTTCTTTGGGATATATGCACGCAGCTAACAGAGTTGAACCTTTCTATTGACAGAGCAGTTTTGAAACAGTCTTTCTGTGGAATCTGCAAGTGGATATTTGGATAGCTTGGAGGATTTCGTTGGAAACGGGATTACGTATAAAAAGTAGACTGCAGCATCCTCAGAAACTTCTTTGTGATGTGTGCATTCAAGTCACAGTGTTGAACATTCCCTTTCGTACAGCAGTTTTGAAACACTCTTTCTGTAGTATCTGGAAGTGAACATTAGGACAGCTTTCAGGTATATGGTGAGAAAGGAAATATCTTCAAATAAAAACTAGACAGAAGCATTCTCATAAACTTGTTCGTGATGCGTGAACTCAGCTAACACACGTGGATCTTTCTTTTGATAGAGCAGTTCTGAAAAACACTTTTTGTTGAATCTGCAAGAGGACATTTGGATAGATTTGAAGATTTCGTTGGAAACGGGAATATCTTCATATCAAATCTAGACAGAGGCATTCTCAGAAACGTCTTTGTGATGTTTGCATTCAACTCATAGAGTTGAACATTCCCTTTCAGAGAGCAGTTTTGAAGCACTCTTTTTGTAGTATGTGCAAGTGGATATTTGGAGCGCTCTGACGCCTACGGGGAAAAAGCAAATATCTTCCCATAACCACTAGACAGAAACATTCTCAGAAACTCCTTTATGACGTATGCACTCACCTAACAGAAGAAGAACCTTCCTTTTGACAGAGCAGTTTTGATACACTCTTTTTGTAGAATCTGCAAGAGGATATTTGGATAGCTGTGAAGATTTCGTTGGAAACGGGAATATCTTCCTATAAAATCTAGACAGAAGCATTCTCAGAAACTGCTCTGTGATGTCTGCATTCAAGTCACAGTGTTGAACGTTGCCTTTCATAGAGCAGGTTTCAAACACTCTTTTTTTAGTATATGGAAGTGGACGTTTCGGACGGTTTGAGGACCATGGTGATAAAGGAAATATCTTCCCCTACAAGCTAGAAAGAAGCATTGTGTGAAACTAGTTTGTGATGTGTGTACTCAACTAACAGAGTTGAACCTTTCTTTTTACAGAGCAGTTTTGAAACACTCTTTTTGTAGAATCTGCGAGGGGATATTTGGATACATTTCAGGATTTCGTTGGAAACGGGAATATCTTCATATAAAATGTCGACAGAAGCATTCTCAGAAACTTCTTTGTGATATCTGCCTTCAAGTCACAGAGGTGAATATTCCCTTTCACAGAGTAGGTTTGAAACACTCTTTTTGTAGTATCTGGAAGTGGACATTTGGAGCGCCTTGACGCCTACGGTGAAAAGGGAAATATCTTCCCATAAAAACTAGACAGAAGCAATCTCAGAATCTTCTTTGGGATATATGCACGCAGCTAACAGAGTTGAACCTTTCTATTGACAGAGCAGTTTTGTAACAGTTTTTCTGTGGAATCTGCAAGTGGATATTTGGATAGCTTGGAGGATTTCGTTGGAAACGGGTTTACGTATAAAAAGTAGACAGTAGCATCCACAGAAACTTCTTTGTGATGTGTGCATTCATGTCACAGTGTTGAACATTCCCTTTCGTACAGCAGTTTTGAAACACTCTTTCTGTAGTATCTCTAAGTGAACATTAGGACATCTTTCAGGTCTATGGTGAGAAAGGAAATATCTTCAAATAAAAACTAGACAGAAGCATACTCATAAACTTGTTTGTGATGTGTGCACTCAGCTAACAGAGGTGGATCTTTCTTTTGATAGAGCAGTTCTGAAAAACACTTTTTGTTGAATCTGCAAGTGGACATTTGGATAGATTTGAAGATTTCGTTGGAAACGGGAATATCTTCATATCAAATCTAGACAGAAGCATTCTCAGAAACGTCTTTGTGATGTTTGCATTCAACTCATGGAGTTGAACATTCGGTTTCAGAGAGCAGCTTTGAGGCACTCTTTTTGTAGTATGTGCAAGTGGATATTTGGAGCGCTCTGAGGCCTACGGTGAAAAAGCAAATATCTTCCCATAACCACTAGACAGAAACATTCTCAGAAACTCCTTTATGACGTATGCACTCACCTAACAGAAAAGAACCTTCCTTTTGACAGAGCAGTTTTGATACACTCTTTTTGAAGAATCTGCAAGTGGATATTTGGATAGCTGTGAAGATTTCGTTGGAAACGGGAATATCTTCCTATAAAATCTAGACAGAAGCATTCTCAGAAACTGCTCTGTGATGTCTGCATTCAAGTCACAGAGTTGAACATTGCTTTTCATAGAGCGGGTTTGAAACGCTCTTTTTGTAGTATATGGAAGTAGACGTTTCGGACGGTTTGAGGCCCATGGTGATAAAGGGAATATCTTCCCCTACAAGCTAGAAAGAAGCATTCTGTGAAACTTGTTTGTGATGTGTGTACTCAACTAACAGAGTTGAACCTTTCTTTTTACAGAGCAGTTTTGAAACACTCTTTTTGTAGAATCTGCGAGGGGATATTTGGATAGATTTCACGATTTCGTTGGAAACGGGAATATCTTCATATAAAATCTCGACAGAAGCATTGTCAGAAACTTCTTTGTGATATGTGCATTCAAGTCACAGAGTTGAATATTCCCTTTCACAGAGTAGGTTTGAAACACCCTTTTTGTAGTATCTGGAAGTGGACATTTGGAGCGCCTTGACACCTACGGTGAAAAGGGAAATATCTTCCCATAAAAACTAGACAGAAGCAATCTCAGAATCTTCTTTGGGATATATGCACGCAGCTAACAGAGTTGAACCTTTCTATTGACAGAGTAGTTTTGAAACAGTCTTTCTGTGGAATCTGCAAGTGGATATTTGGATAGCTTGGAGGATTTCGTTGGAAACGGGATTACGTATAAAAAGTAGACAGCAGCATCCTCAGAAACTTCTTTGTGATGTGTGCATTCAAGTCACAGAGTTGAACATTCCCTTTTGTACAGCAGTTTTCAAACACTCTTTCTGTAGTATCTGGAAGTGAACATTAGGACAGCTTTCAGCTCTATGGTGAGAAAGGAAATATCTTCAAATAAAAACTAGACAGAAGCATTCTCATAAACTTGTTTGTGATGTGTGAACTCAGCTAACAGAGGTGGATCTTTCTTTTGATAGAGCATTTCTGAAAAACACTTTTTGTTGAATCTGCAAGTGGACATTTGGATAGATTTGAAGATTTCGTTGGAAACGGGAATATCTTCATATCAAATCTAGACAGCAGCATTCTCAGAAACGTCTTTGTGATGTTTGCATTCAACTCATAGAGTTGAACATTCCCTTTCAGAGAGCAGCTTTGAAGCACTCTTTTTGTAGTATGTGCAAGTGGATATTTGGAGCGCTCTGAGGCCTACGGTGAAAAAGCAAATATCTTCCCATAACCACTAGGCAGAAACATTCTCAGAAACTCCTTTATGACGTATGCACTCACCTAACAGAGAAGAACCTTCCTTTTGACACAGCAGTTTTGATACACTCTTTTTGTAGAATCTGCAAGTGGATATTTGGATAGCTGTGAATATTTCGTTGGAAACGGGAATATCTTCCTATAAAATCTAGACAGAAGCATTCTCAGAAACTGCTCTGTGATGTCTGTATTCAAGTCACAGAGTTAAACATTGCCTTTCATAGAGCAGGTTTGAAACGCTCTTTTTGTAGTATATGGAAGTGGATGTTTCGGACGGTTGGAGGCCCATGGTGATAAAGGGAATATCTTCCCCTACAAGCTAGAAAGAAGCATTCTGTGAAACTTGTTTGTGATGTGTGTACTCAACTAACAGAGTTGAACCTTTCTTTTTACAGAGCAGTTTTGAAACACTCTTTTTGTAGAATCTGCGAGCGGATATTTGGATACATTTCAGCATTTCGTTGGAAACGGGAATATCTTCATATAAAATCTCGACAGAAGCATTCTCAGAAACTTCTTTGTGATATGTGCATTCAAGTCACAGAGTTGAATATTCCCTTTCACACAGTAGGTTTGAAACACTCTTTTTGTAGTATCTGGAAGTGGACATTTGGAGCGCCTTGACGCCTACGGTGAAAAGGGAAATATCTTCCCATAAAAACTAGACAGAAGCAATCTCAGAATCTTCTTTGGGATATATGCACGCAGCTAACAGAGTTGAACCTTTCTATTGACAGAGCAGTTTTGAAACAGTCTTTCTGTGGAATCTGCAAGTGGATATTTGGATAGCTTGGAGGATTTCGTTGGAAAAGGGATTACGCATAAAAAGTAGACAGCAGCATCCTCCGAAACTTCTTTGTGATGTGTGCATTCAAGTCACAGAGTTGAACATTCCCTTTCGTACAGCCGTTTTGAAACACTCTTTCTGTAGTATCTGGAAGAGAACATTAGGACAGCTTTCAGCTCTATGGTGAGAAAGGAAATATCTTCAAATAAAAACTAGACAGAAGCATTCTCATAAACTTGTTTGTGAAGTGTGAACTCAGCTAACACAGGTGGATCTTTCTTTTGATACAGCAGTATTGAAAAACACTTTGTTGAATCTGCAAGTGGACATTTGGATAGATTTGAAGATTTCGTTGGAAACGGGAATATCTTCATATCAAATCTAGACAGAAGCATTCTCAGAAACGTCTTTGCGATGTTTGCATTCAACTCATAGAGTTGAACATTCCGTTTCAGAGAGCAGCTTTGAGGCACTCTTTTTGTAGTATGTGCAAGTGGATATTTGGAGCGCTCTGAGGCCTACGGTGAAAAAGCAAATATGTTCCCATAACCACTAGACAGAAACATTCTCAGAAACTCCTTTATGATGTATGCACTCACCTAACAGAGAAGAACCTTCCTTTTGACAGAGCAGTTTTGATACACTCTTTTTGTAGAATCTGCAAGTGGATATTTGGATAGCTGTGAAGGTTTCGTTGGAAACGGGAATATCTTCCTATAAAATCTAGACAGAAGCATTCTCAGAAACTGCTCTGTGATGTCTGCATTCAAGTCACAGAGTTGAACATTGCCTTTCATAGAGCAGGTTTGAAACGCTCTTTTTGTAGTACATGGAAGTAAACGTTTCGGACGGTTTGAGGCCCATGGTGATAAAGGGAATATCTTCCCCTACAAGCTAGAAGGAGCATTCTGTGAAACTTGTTTGTGATGTGTGTACTCAACTAACAGAGTTGAACCTTTCTTTTTACAGAGCAGTTTTGAAACACTCTTTTTGTAGAATCTGCGAGGGGATATTTGGATAGATTTCAGGATTTCGTTGGAAACTGGAATATCTTCATAGAAAATCTCGACAGAAGCATTCTCAGAAACTTCTTTGTGATATGTGCATTCAAGTCACAGAATTGAATATTCCCTTTCACAGAGTAGGTTTGAAACACTCTTTTTGTAGTATCCGGATGTGGACATTTGGAGCACCTTGACGCCTACGGTGAAAAGGGAAATATCTTCCCATAAAAACTAGACAGAAACAATCTCAGAATCTTCTTTGGGATATATGCACGCAGCTAACAGAGTTGAACCTTTCTATTGACAGAGCAGTTTTGAAACAGTCTTTCTGGGGAATCTGCAAGTGGATATTTGGATAGCTTGGAGGATTTCGTTGGAAACGGGATTACGTATAAAAAGTAGACAGCAGCATCCTCAGAAACTTCTTTGTGATGTGTGCATTCAAGTCACAGAGTTGAACATTCCCTTTCGTACAGCAGTTTTGAAACACTCTTTCTATAGTATCTGGAAGTGAACATTAGGACAGCTTTCAGCTCTATGGTGAGAAAGGAAATATCTTCAAATAAAAACTAGACAGAAAGCATTCTCATAAACTTGTTTGTGATGTGTGAACTCAGCTAACAGAGGTGGATCTTTCTTTTGATAGAGCAGTTCTGAAAAACACTTTTTGTTGAATCTGCAAGTGGACATTTCGATAGATTTGAAGATTTCGTTGGAAACGGGAATATCTTCATATCAAATCTAGACAGAAGCATTCTCAGAAACGTCTTTGTGATGTTTGCATTCAACTCATAGAGTTGAACATTCCGTTTCAGAGAGCAGCTTTGAGGCACTCTTTTTGTAGTATGTGCAAGTGGATATTTGGAGCGCTCTGAGGCCTACGGTGAAAAAGCAAGTATCTTCCCATAACCACTAGACAGAAACATTCTCAGAAACTCCTTTATGACGTATGCACTCACCTAACAGAGAAGAACCTTCCTTTTGACAGAGCAGTTTTGATACACTCTTTTTGTAAAATCTGCAAGTGGATATTTGGATAGCTGTGAAGATTTCGTTGGAAACGGGAATATCTTCCTATAAAATCTAGACAGAAGCATTCTCAGAAACTGCTCTGTGATGTCTGCATTCAAGTCACAGAGTTGAACATTGCCTTTCATAGAGCAGGTTTGAAACGCTCTTTTTGTAGTATATGGAAGTAGACGTTTCGGACGGTTTCAGGCCCATGGTGATAAAGGGAATATCTTCCCCTACAAGCTAGAAAGAAGCATTCTGTGAAACTTGTTTGTGATGTGTGTACTCAACTAACAGAGTTGAACCTTTCTTTTTACAGAGCAGTTTTGAAACACTCTTTTTGTAGAATCTGCGAGGGGATATTTGGATACATTTCAGCATTTCATTGGAAACGGGAATATCTTCATATAAAATCTCGACAGAAGCATTCTCAGAAACTTCTTTGTGATATGTGCATTCAAGTCACAGATTTGAATGTTCCCTTTCACAGAGAAGGTTTGAAACACTCTTTTTGTAGTATCTGGAAGTGGACATTTGGAGCGCCTTGACGCCTACGGTGAAAAGGGAAATATCTTCCCATAAAAACTAGACAGAAGCCATCTCAGAATCTTCTTTGGGATATATGTACGCAGCTAATAGAGTTGAACCTTTCTATTGACAGAGCAGTTTTGAAACAGTCTTTCTGTGGAATCTGCAAGTGGATATTTGGATAGCTTGGAGGATTTCGTTGGAAACGGGATTACGTATAAAAAGTAGACAGCAGCATCCTCTGAAACTTCTTTGTGATGTGTGCATTCAAGTCACAGAGTTGAACATTCCCTTTCGTACAGCAGTTTTGAAACACTCTTTCTGTAGTATCTGGAAGTGAACATTAGGACAGCTTTCAGGTCTATGGTGAGAAAGGAAATATCTTCAAATAAAAACTAGACAGAAGCATTCTCATAAACTTGTTTGTGATGTGTGAACTCAACTAACATAGGTGGATCTTTCTTTTCATACAGCAGTTTTGAAAAACACTTTTTGTTGAACCTGCATGTGGACATGTGGATAGATTTGAAGATTTCGTTGGAAACGGGAATATCTTCATGTAAAATCTAGACAGAAGCATTCTCAGAAACGTCTTTGTGATGTTTGCATTCAACTCATAGAGTTGAACATTCCCTTTCAGAGAGCAGCTTTGAAGCACTCTTTTTGTAGTATGTGCAAGTGGATATTTGGAGCGCTCTGAGGCCTACGGTGAAAAAGCAAATATCTTCCCATAACCACTACACAGAAACATTCTCAGAAACTCCTTTATGACGTATGCACTCACCTAACAGAGAAGAACCTTCCGTTTGACAGAGCAGTTTTGATACACTCTTTTTGTAGAATCTGCAAGTGGATATTTGGATAGCTGTGAAGATTTCGTTGGAAACGGGAATATCTTCCTATAAAATCTAGACAGAAGCATTCTCAGAAACTGCTCTGTGATGTCTGCATTCAAGTCACAGAGTTGAACATTGCCTTTCATAGAGCAGGTTTGAAACGCTCTTTTTATAGTATATGGAAGTGGACTTATCGGACGGTTTGAGGCCCATGGTGATAAAGGGAATATCTTCCCCTACAAGCTAGAAAGAAGCATTGTGTGAAACTTGTTTGTGATGTGTGTACTCAACTAACAGAGTTGAACCTTTCTTTTTACAGAGCAGTTTTGAAACACTCTTTTTGTAGAATCTGCGAGGGGATATTTGGATAGATTTCAGGATTTCGTTGGAACCGGGAATATCTTCATATAAAATCTCGACAGAAGCATTCTCAGAAACTTCTTTGTGATATCTGCATTCAAGTCACAGAGTTGAATATTCCCTTTCACCGAGTAGGTTAGAAACACTCTTTTTGTAGAATCTGGAAGTGGACATTTGGAGCGCCTTGACGCCTACGGTGAAAAGGGAAATATCTTCCCATTAAAACTAGACAGAAGCAATCTCAGAATCTTCTTTGGGATATATGCACGCAGCTAACAGAGTTGAACCTTTCTATTGACAGAGCAGTTTTGAAACAGTCTTTCTGTGGAATCTGCAAGTGGATATTTGGGATAGCTTGGAGGATTTCGTTGGAAACGGGATTACGTATAAAAAGTAGACAGCAGCATCCTCAGAAACTTCTTTGTGATGTCTGCATTCAAATCACAGAGTTGAACATTCCCTTTCGTACAGCAGTTTTGAAACACTCTTTCTGTAGTATCTGGAAGTGAACATTTGGACAGCTTTCAGGTCTATGGTGAGAAAGGAAATATCTTCAAATAAAAACTAGACAGAAGCATTCTCATAAACTTGTTTGTGATGTGTGAACTCAGCTAACAGACGTGGATCTTTCTTTTGATAGAGCAGTTTTGAAAAACACTTTTTGTTGAATCTGCAAGTGGACATTTGGATAGATATGAAGATTTCGTTGGAAACGGGAATATCTTCATATCAAATCTAGACAGAAGCATTCTCAGAAACGTCTTTGTGATGTTTGCATTCAACTCATAGAGTTGAAAATTCCGTTTCAGAGAGCAGCTTTGAAGCACTCTTTTTGTAGTATGTGCAAGTGGATATTTGGAGCGCTCTGAGGCCTACGGGGAAAAAGCAAATATCTTCCCATAACCACTAGACAGAAACATTCTCAGAAACTCCTTTATGACGTATGCACTCACCTAACAGGAGTAAGAACCTTCCTTTTGACAGAGCAGTTTTGATACACTCTTTTTGTAGAATCTGCAAGTGGATATTTGGATAGCTGTGAAGATTTCGTTGGAAACGGGAATATCTTCCTATAAAATCTATACAGAAGCATTCTCAGAAACTGCTTTGTGATGTCTGCATTCAAGTCACAGAGTTGAACATTGCCTTTCCTAGAGCAGGTTTGAAATGATCTTTTTTAGTATATGGAAGTGGACGTTTCAGACGGTTTGAGGCCCATGGTGTTAAAGGGAATATCTTCCCCTACAAGCTAGAAAGAAGCATTCTGTGAAACTTGTTTGTGATGTGTGTACTCAACTAACAGAGTTGAACCTTTCTTTTTACAGAGCAATTTTGAAACACTCTTTTTGTAGAATCTGCGAAGGGATATTTGGATAGATTTCAGGATTTCGTTGGAAACGGGAGTATCTTCATATAAAATCTCGACAGAAGCATTCTCAGAAACTTCTTTGTGATATCTGCATTCAAGTCACAGAGTTGAATATTCCCTTTCACAGAGTAGGTTTGAAACACTCTTTTTGTAGTATCTGGAAGTGGACATTTTGAGCGCCTTGACACCTACGGTAAAAAGGGAAATATCTTCCCATAAAAACTAGACAGAAGCAATCTCAGAATTTTCTTTGGGATATATCCACGCAGCTAACAGAGTTGAACCTTTCTATTGACAGAGCAGTTTTGAAACAGTCTTTCTGTGGAATCTGCAAGTGGATATTTGGATAGCTTGGAGGATTTCGTTGGAAACGGGATTACGTATAAAAAGTAGACAGCAGCATCCTCAGAATCTTCTTTGTGATGTGTGCATTCAAGTCACAGAGTTGAACATTCCCTTTCGTACAGCAGTTTTGAAACACTCTTTCTGTAGTATCTGGAAGTGAACATTAGGACAGCTTTCAGCTCTATGGTGAGAAAGGAAATATCTTCAAATAAAAACTAGACAGAAGCATTCTCATAAACTTGTTTGTGTTGTGTGAACTCAGCTAACAGAGGTGGATCTTTCTTTTGATAGAGCAGTTCTGAAAAACACTTTTTGTTGAATCTGCAAGTGGACATTTGGATAGATTTGAAGATTTCGTTGGAAACGGGAATATCTTCGTATCAAATCTAGACAGAAAGCATTCTCAGAAACGTCTTTGTGATGTTTGCATTCAACTCATAGAGTTGAACATTCCGTTTCAGAGAGCAGCTTTGAAGCACTCTTTTTGTAGTATGTGCAAGTGGATATTTGGAGCGCTCTGAGGCCTACGGTGAAAAAGCAAATATCTTCCCATAACCACTAGACAGAAACATTCTCAGAAACTCCTTTATGACGTATGCACTCACCTAACAGAGAAGAACCTTCCTTTTGACAGAGCAGTTTTGATACACTCTTTTTGTAGAATCTGCAAGTGGATATTTGGATAGCTGTGAAGATTTCGTTGGAAACGGGAACATCTTCCTATAAAATCTAGACAGAAGCATTCTCAGAAACTGCTCTGTGATGTCTGCATTCAAGTCACAGAGTTGAACATTGCCTTTCATAGAGCAGGTTTGAAACGCTCTTTTTGTAGTATATGGAAGTGGATGTTTCGGACGGTTTGAAGCCCATGGTGATAAAGGGAATATCTTCCCCTACAAGCTAGAAAGAAGCATTCTCATAAACTTGTTTGTGATGTGTGTACTCAACTAACAGAGTTGAACCTTTCTTTTTACAGAGCAGTTTTGAAACACTCTTTTTGTAGAATCTGCAAGGGGATATTTGGATACATTTCAGGATTTCGTTGGAAACGGGAATATCTTCATATAAAATCTCGACAGAAGCATTCTCAGAAACTTCTTTGTGATATGTGCATTCAAGTCACAGAGTTGAATATTCCCTTTCACAGAGTAGGTTTGAAACACTCTTTTTGTAGTATCTGGAAGTGGACATTTGGAGCGCCTTGACGCCTACGGTGAAAAGGGAAATATCTTCTCATAAAAATTAGACAGAAGCAATCTCAGAATCTTCTTTGGGATATATGCACGCAGTTAACAGAGTTGAACCTTTCTATTGACAGAGCAGTTTTGAAACAGTCTTTCTGTGGAATCTGCAAGTGGATATTTGGATAGCTTGGAGGATTTCGTTGGAAACGGGATTACGTATAGAAAGTAGACAGCAGCATCCTCAGAAACTTCTTTGTGATGTGTGCATTCAAGTCACAGAGTTGAACATTCCCTTTCGTACAGCAGTTTTGAAACACTCTTTCTGTAGTATCTGGAAGTGAACATTAGGACAGCTTTCAGGTCTATGGTGAGAAAGGAAATATCTTCAAATAAAAACTACACAGAAGCATTCTCATAAACTTGTTTGTGATGTGTGAACTCAGCTAACAGAGGCGGATCTTTCTGTTGATAGAGCAGTTCGGAAAAACACTTTTTGTTGAATCTGCAAGTGGACATTTGGATAGATTTGAAGATTTCGTTGGAAACGGGAATATCTTCATATCAAATCTAGACAGAAGCATTCTCAGAAACGTCTTTGTGATGTTTGCATTCAACTCATAGAGTTGAACATTCCGTTTCAGAGAGCAGCTTTGAGGCACTCTTTTTGTAGTATGTGCAAGTGGATATTTGGAGCGCTCTGAGGTCTACGGTGAAAAAGCAAATATCTTCCCATAACCACTAGACAGAAACATTCTCAGAAACTCCTTTATGACGTATGCACTCACCTAACAGAGAAGAACCTTCCTTTTGACAGAGCAGTTTTGATACACTCCTTTTGTAGAATCTGCAAGTGGATATTTGGATAGCTGTGAAGATTTCGTTGGAAACGGGAATATCTTCCTATAAAATCTAGACAGAAGCATTCTCAGAAACTGCTCTGTGATGTCTGCATTCAAGTCACAGAGTTGAACATTGTCTTTCATAGAGCAGGTTTGAAACGCTCTTTTTGTAGTATATGGAAGTGGATGTTTCGGACGGTTGGAGGCCCATGGTGATAAAGGGAATATCTTCCCCTACAAGCTAGAAAGAAGCATTCTGTGAAACTTGTTTGTGCTGTGTGTACTCAACTAACAGAGTTGAACCTTTCTTTTTACAGAGCAGTTTTGAAACACACTTTTTGTAGAATCTGCGAGGGGATATTTGGATAGATTTCAGGATTTCGTTGGAAACGGGAATATCTTCATATAAAATCTCGACAGAAGCATTCTCAGAAACTTCTTTGTGATATCTGCATTCAAGTCACAGAGTTGAATATTCCCTTTCACAGAGTAGGTTTGAAACACTCTTTTTGTAGTATCTGGAAGTGGACATTTGGAGCGCCTTGACACCTACGGTGAAAAGGGAAATATCTTCTCATAAAAACTAGACAGAAGCAATCTCAGAATCTTCTTTGTGATATATGCACGCAGCTAACAGAGTTGAACCTTTCTATTGACTGAGCAGATTTGAAACAGTCTTTCTGTGGAATCTGCAAGTGGATATTTGGATAGATTGGAGGATTTCGTTGGAAACGGGATTACGTATAAAAAGTACACAGCAGCATCCTCAGAAACATCTTTGTGATGTGTGCATTCAAGTCACAGAGTTGAACATTCCCTTTCGTACAGCAGTTTTGAAACACTCTTTCTGTAGTATCTGGAAGTGAACATTAGGACAGCTTTCAGGTCTATGGTGAGAAAGAAAATATCTTCAAATAAAAACTAGACAGAAGCATTCTCATAAACTTGTTTTGGATGTGTGAACTCAGCTAACAGAGGTGGATCTTTCTTTTGATAGAGCAGTTCTGAAAAACACTTTTTGTTGAATCTGCAAGTGGACATTTGGATAGATTTGAAGATTTCTTTGGAAACGGGAATATCTTCATATCAAGTCTAGACAGAAGCATTCTCAGAAACGTCTTTTTGATGTTTGCATTCAACTCATAGAGTTGAACATTCCCTTTCAGAGAGCAGCTCTGAAGCACTCTTTTTGTAGTATGTGCAAGGGGATATTTGGAGCGCTCTGAGGCCTACGGTGAAAAACCAAATATCTTCCCATAACGACTAGACAGAAACATTCTCAGAAACTCCTTTATGAAGTATGTACTCAACTAACAGAGAAGAACCTTCCTTTTGACAGAGCAGTTTTGATACACTCTTTTTGTAGAATCTGCAAGTGGATATTTGGATAGCTGTGAAGATTTCGTTGGAAACGGGAATATCTTCCTATAAAATCTAGACAGAAGCATTCTCAGAAACTGCTCTGTGATGTCTGCATTCAAGTCACAGAGTTGAACATTGCCTTTCATAGAGCAGGTTTCAAACACTCTTTTTTTAGTATATGGAAGTGGACCTTTCGGACGGTTTACGGCCCATGGTGATAAAGGAAATATCTTCCCCTACAAGCTAGAAAGAAGCATTCTGTGAAACTTGTTTGTGATGTGTGTACTCAACTAACAGAGTTGAACCTTTCTTTTTACAGAGCAGTTTTGAAACACTCTTTTTGTAGAATCTGCGAGGGGGTATTTAGATAGATTTCAGGATTCCGTTGGAAACGGGAATATCTTCATATAAAATCTCGACAGAAGCATTCTCAGAAACTTCATTGTGATATCTGCATTCAAGTCACAGAGTTGAATATTCCCTTTCACAGAGTAGGTTTGAAACACTCTTTTTGTAGTATCTGGAAGTGGACATTTGGAGCGCCTTGACGCCTACGGTGAAAAGGGAAATATCTTCCCATAAAAACTAGACAGAAGCAATCTCAGAATCTTCTTTGGGATATATGTACGCAGCTAATAGAGTTGAACCTTTCTATTGACAGAGCAGTTTTGAAACAGTCTTTCTGTGGAATCTGCAAGTGGATATTTGGATAGATTGGAGGATTTCGTTGGAAACGGGATTACGTATAAAAAGTAGACAGCAGCATCCTCAGAAACTTCTTTGTGATGTGTGCATTCAAGTCACAGAGTTGAACATTCCCTTTCGTACAGCAGTTTTGAAACACTCTTTCTGTAGTATCTGGAAGTGAACATTAGGACCGCTTTCAGGTCTATGGTGAGAAAGGAAATATCTTCAAATAAAAACTAGACAGAAGCATTCTGATATACTTGTTTGTGAAGTGTGATCTCAGCTAACAGAGGTGGATCTTTCTTTTGATAGAGCAGTTCTGAAAAACACTTTGTTGAATCTGCAAGTGGACATTTGGATAGATTTGAAGATTTCGTTGGAAACGGGAATATCTTCATATCAAATCTAGACAGAAGCATTCTCAGAAACGTCTTTGTGATGTTTGCATTCAACTCATAGAGTTGAACATTCCGTTTCAGAGAGCAGCTTTGAAGCACTCTTTTTGTAGTATGTGCAAGTGGATATTTGGAGCGTTCTGAGGCCTACGGGGAAAAAGCAAATATCTTCCCATAACCACTAGACAAAAACATTCTCAGAAACTCCTTTATGACGTTTGTACTCACCTAACAGAGAAGAACCTTCCTTTTGACAGAGCAGTTTTGATACACTCTTTTTGTAGAATCTGCAAGTGGATATTTGGATAGCTGTGAAGATTTCGTTGGAAACGGGAATATCTTCCTATAAAATCTAGACAGAAGCATTCTCAGAAACTGCTCTGTGATGTCTGCATTCAAGTCACAGAGTTGAACATTGCTTTTCATAGAGCAGGTTTGAAACGCTCTTTTTGTAGTATATGGAAGTAGAAGTTTCGGACGGTTTGAGGCCCATGGTGATAAAGGGAATATCTTCCCCTACAAGCTAGAAAGAAGCATTCTGTGAAACTTGTTTGTGATGTGTGTACTCAACTAACAGAGTTGAACCTTTCTTTTTACAGAGCAGTTTTGAAACACTCTTTCTGTAGAATCTGCGAGGGGATATTTGGATAGATTTCAGGATTTCGTTGGAAACGGGAATATCTTCATAGAAAATCTCGACAGAAGCATTCTCAGAAACTTCTTTCTGATATCTGCATTCAAGTCACAGAGTTGAATATTCCCTTTCACAGAGTAGGTTTGAAACACTCTTTTTGTAGTATCTGGAAGTGGACATTTGGAGCGCCTTGACACCTACGGTGAAAAGGGAAATATCTTCCCATAAAAACTAGACAGAAGCAATCTCAGAATCTTCTTTGGGATATATGCACGCAGCTAACAGAGTTGAACCTTTCTATTGACAGAGCAGTTTTGAAACAGTCTTTCTGTGGAATCTGCAAGTGGATATTTGGATAGCTTGGGGGATTTCTTTGGAAACGGGATTACGTATAAAAAGTAGATAGCAGCATCCTCAGAAACTTCTTTGTGATGTGTGCATTCAAGTCACAGAGTTGATCATTCCCTTTCGTACAGCAGTTTTGAAACACTCTTTCTGTAGTATCTGGAAGTGAACATTAGGACAGCTTTCAGGTCTATGGTGAGAAAGGAAATATCTTCAAATAAAAACTAGACAGAAGCATTCTCATAAACTTCTTTGTGATGTGTGAACTCAGCTAACAGAGGTGGATCTTTCTTTTGATAGAGCAGTTCTGAAAAACACTTTTTGTTGAATCTGCAAGTGGACATTTTGATAGATATGAAGATTTCGTTGGAAACGGGAATATCTTCATATCAAATCTAGACAGAAGCATTCTCGGAAACGTCGTTGTGATGTTTGCATTCAACTCATAGAGTTGAACATTCCGTTTCAGAGAGCAGCTTTGAGGCACTCTTTTTGTAGTATGTGCAAGTGGATATTTGGAGCGCTCTGAGGCCTTCGGTGAAAAAGCAAATATCTTCCCATAACCACTAGACAGAAACATTCTCAGAAACTCCTTTATGACGTATGCACTCACCTAACAGAGAAGAACCTTCCTTTTGACAGAGCAGTTTTGATACACTCTTTTTGTAGAATCTGCAAGTGGATATTTGGATAGCTGTGAAGATTTCGTTGGAAAAGGGAATATCTTCCTATAAAATCTAGACAGAAGCATTCTCAGAAACTGCTCTGTGATGTCTGCATTCAAGTCACAGAGTTGAAAATTACCTTTCATAGAGCAGGTTTGAAACGCTCTTTTTGTAGTATATGGAAGTGGATGTTTCGGACGGTTGGAGGCCCATGGTGATAAAGGGAATATCTTCCCCTACAAGCTAGAAAGTAGCATTCTGTGAAACTTGTTTGTGATGTGTGTACTCAACTAACAGCAGTTGAACCTTTCTTTTCACAGAGCAGTTTTGAAACACTCTTTTCGTAGAATCTGCGAGGGGATATTTGGATAGATTTCAGCATTTCGTTGGAAACGGGAATATCTTCATATAAAATCTCGACAGAAGCATTCTCAGAAACTTCTTTGTGATATGTGCATTCAAGTCACAGAGTTGAATATTCCCTTTCACAGAGTAGGTTTGAAACACTCTTTTTGTAGTATCTGGAAGTGGATATTTGGAGCGCCTTGACACCTACGGTGAAAAGGGAGATATCTTCCCATAAAAACTAGACAGAAGCAATCTCAGAATCTTCTTTGGGATATATGCACGCAGCTAACAGAGTTGAACCTTTCTATTGACCGAGCAGTTTTGAAACAGTCTTTCTGTGGAATCTGCAAGTGGATATTTGGATAGCTTGGAGGATTTCGTTGGAAACGGGATTAAGTATAAAAAGTAGACAGCAGCATTCTCAGAAACTTCGTTGTGATGTGTGCATTCATGTCACAGAGTTCAACATTCCCTTTCATACAGCAGGTTTCAAACACTCTTTCTGTAGTATCTAGAAGTGAACATTAGGAGAGCTTTCAGGTCTGCGGTGAGAAAGGAAATATCTAAAAATAAAAACTAGACAGGAAGCATTCTCATAATCTTGTTTGTGATGTCTGAACTCAGCTAACAGAGGTGGATCTTTCTTTTGATAGAGCAGTTCTGAAAAACACTTTTTGTTGAATCTGCAAGTGGACATTTGGATAGATTTGAAGATTTCGTTGGAAACGGGAATATCTTCATATCAAATCTAGACAGAAGCATTCTCAGAAACGTCTTTGTGATGTTTGCATTCAACTCATAGAGTTGAACATTCCCTTTCAGAGAGCAGCTTTGAAGCACTCTTTTTGTAGTATGTGCAAGTGGATATTTGGAGTGCTCTGAGGCCTACGGTGAAAAAGCAAATATCTTCCCATAACCACTAGACAGAAACATTCTCAGAAACTCCTTTATGACGTATGCACTCACCTAACAGAGAAGAACCTTCCTTTTGACAGAGCAGTTTTGATACACTCTTTTTGTAGAATCTGCAAGTGGATATTTTGATACCTGTGAATATTTCGTTGGAAACGGGAATATCTTCCTATAAAATCTAGACAGAAGCATTCTCAGAAACTGCTCTGTGATGTCTGCATTCAAGTCACAGAGTTGAAAATTGCCTTTCATAGAGCAGGTTTGAAACGCTCTTTTTGTAGTATATGGAAGTGGATGTTTCGGACGCTTGGAGGCCCATGGTGATAAAGGGAATATCTTCCCCTACAAGCTAGAAAGAAGCATTCCTGTGAAACTTGTTTGTGATGTGTGTACTCAACTAACAGAGTTGAACCTTTCTTTTTACAGAGCAGTTTTGAAACACTCTTTTTGTAGAATCTGCGAGGGGATATTTGGATACATTTCAGGATTTCGTTGGAAACGGGAATATCTTCATATAAAATCTCGACAGAAGCATTCTAAGAAACTTCTTTGTGATATCTGCATTCAAGTCACAGAGTTGAATATTCCCTTTCACAGAGTAGGTTTGAAACACTCTTTTTGTAGTATCTGGAAGTGGACATTTGGAGCGCCTTGACGCCTACGGTGAAAAGGGAAATATCTTCCCATAAAAACTAGACAGAAGCAATCTCAGAATCTTCTTTGGGATATATGCACGCAGCTAACAGAGTTGAACCTTTCTATTGACAGAGCAGTTTTGAAACAGTCTTTCTGTGGAATCTGCAAGTGGATATTTGGATAGCTTGGAGGATTTCTTTGGAAATGGGACTACGTGTAAAAAGTAGACAGCAGCATCCTCAGAAACTTCTTTGTGATGTGTGCATTCAAGCCACAGATTTGAACATTCCCTTTCGTACAGCAGTTTTGAAACACTCTTTCTGTAGTATCTGGAAGTGAACATTAGGACAGCTTTCAGGTCTATGGTGAGAAAGGAAATATCTTCAAATAAAAACTAGACAGAAGCATTCTCATAAACTTGTTTGTGATGTGTGAACTCAGCTAACAGAGGTGGATCTTTCTTTTGATAGAGCAGTTCTGAAAAACACGTTTTGTTGAATCTGCAAGTGGACATTTGGATAGATTTGAAGATTTCTTTGGAAAAGGGAATATCTTCATATCAAATCTAGACAGAAGCATTCTCAGAAACGTCTTTGTGATGTTTGCATTCACCTCATAGAGTTGAACATTCCGTTTCAGAGAGCAGCTTTGAAGCACTCTTTTTGTAGTATGTGCAAGTGGATATTTGGAGCGCTGTGAGGCCTACAGTGAAAAAGCAAATATCTTCCCATAACCACTAGACAGAAACATTCTCAGAAACTCCTTTATGACGTATGTACTCACCTAACAGAGAAGAACCTTCCTTTTGACAGAGCAGTTTTGATACACTCTTTTTGTAGAATCTGCAAGTGGATATTTGGATAGCTGTGAAGATTTCTTTGGAAACGGGAATATCTTCCTATAAAATCTAGACAGAAGCATTCTCAGAAACTGCTCTGTGATGTCTGCATTCAAGTCACAGAGTTGAACATTGCCTTTCATAGAGCAGGTTTGAAACGCTCTTTTTGTAGTATATGGAAGTGGACATATCGGACGGTTTGAGGCCCATGGTGATAAAGGGAATATCTTCCCCTACAAGCTAGAAAGAAGCATTCTGTGAAACTTGTTTGTGATGTGTGTACTCAACTAATAGAGTTGAACCTTTCTTTTTACAGAGCAGTTTTGAAACACTCTTTTTGTAGAATCTGCGAGGGGATATTTGGATAGATTTCAGGATTTCGTTGGAAACGGGAATATCTTCATTTAAAATCTCGACAGAAGCATTCTCAGAAGCTTCTTTGTGATATGTGCATTCAAGTCACAGAGTTGAATATTCCCTTTCACAGAGTAGGTTTGAAACACTCTTTTTGTATTATCTGGAAGTGGACATTTTGAGCACCTTGACGCCTACGGTGAAAAGGGAAATATCTTCTCATAAAAAGTAGACAGAAGCAATCTCAGAATCTTCTTTGGGATATATGTACGCAGCTAATAGAGTTGAACCTTTCTATTGACAGAGCAGTTTTGAAACAGTCTTTCTGGGGAATCTGCAAGTGGATATTTGGATAGCTTGGAGGATTTCGTTGGAAACGGGATTACGTATAAAAAGTAGACAGCAGCATCCTCAGAAACATCCTTGTGATGTGTGCATTCAAGTCACAGAGTTGAACATTCCCTTTCGTACAGCAGTTTTGAAACACTCTTTCTGTAGTATCTGGAAGTGAACTTTAGGACAGCTTTCAGGTCTATAGTGAGAAAGGATATATCTTCAAATAAAAACTAGATGGAAGAATTCTGATAAACTTGTTTGTGAAGTGTGAACTCAGCTAACAGAGGTGGATCTTTCTTTTGATACAGCAGTTTTGAAAAACACTTTGTTGAATCTGCAAGTGGACATTTGGATAGATTTGAAGATTTCGTTGGAAACAGGAATATCTTCATATCAAATCTAGACAGAAGCATTCTCAGAAACGTCTTTGTGATGTTTGCATTCAACTCATAGAGTTGAACATTCCGTTTCAGAGAGCAGCTTTGAAGCACTCTTTTTGTAGTATGTGCAAGTGGATATTTGGAGCGCTGTGATGCCTACGGTGAAAAAGCAAATATCTTCCCATAACCACTAGACAGAAACATTCTCAGAAACTCCTTTATGACGTATGCACTCACCTAACAGAAAAGAACCTTCCTTTTGACAGAGCAGTTTTGATACACTCTTTTTGTAGAATCTGCAAGTGGATATTTGGATAGTTGTGAAGATTTCGTTGGAAACAGGAATATCTTCCTATAAAATCTAGACAGAAGCATTCTCAGAAACTGCTCTGTGATGTCTGCATTCAAGTCACAGAGTTGAACATTGCCTTTCATAGAGCAGGTTTGAAATGCTCTTTTTGTAGTATATGGAAGTGGACGTTTCAGACGGTTTGAGGCCCATGGTTTTAAAGGGAATATCTTCCCCTACAAGCTAGAAAGAAGCATTCTGTGAAACTTGTTTGTGATGTGTGTACTCAACTAACAGAGTTCAACCTTTCTTTTTACAGAGCAGTTTTGAAACACTCTTTTTGTAGAATCTGCGAGGGGATATTTGGATACATTTCAGGATTTCGTTGGAAACGGGAATATCTTCATATAAAATCTCGACAGAAGCATTCTCAGAAGCTTCTTTGTGATATGTGCATTCAAGTCACAGAGTTGAATATTCCCTTTCACAGAGTAGGTTTGAGACACTCTTTTTGTAGTATCTGGAAGTGGACATTTGGAGCACCTTGACGCCTACGGTGAAAAGGGAAATATCTTCTCATAAAAAGTAGACAGAAGCAATCTCAGAATCTTCTTTGGGATATATGTACGCAGCTAACAGAGTTGAACCTTTCTATTGAGAGAGCAGTTTTGAAACAGTCTTTCTGTGGAATCTGCAAGTGGATATTTGGATAGCTTGGAGGATTTCGTTGGAAACGGGATTACGTATAAAAAGTAGACAGCAGCATCCTCAGAAACTTCTTTGTGATGTGTGCATTCAAGTCACAGAGTTGAACTTTCCCTTTCGTACAGCAGTTTTGAAACACTCTTTCTGTAGTATCTGGAAGTGAACATTAGGACAGCTTTCAGGTCTATGGTGAGAAAGGAAATATCTTCAAATAAAAACTAGACAGAAGCATTCTCATAAACTGGTTTGTGATGTGTGAACTCAGCTAACAGAGGTGGATCTTTCTTTTGATAGAGCAGTTCTGAAAAACACTTTTTGTTGAATCTACAAGTGGACATTTGGATAGATTTGAAGATTTCGTTGGAAACGGGAATATCTTCATATCAAATCTAGACAGAAGCATTCTCAGAAACGTCTTTGTCATGTTTGCATTCAACTCATAGAGTTGAATATTCCCTTTCAGAGAGCAGCTTTGAAGAACTCTTTTTGTAATATGTGCAAGTGGACATTTGGAGCGCTATGAGGCCTACGGGGAAAAAGCAAATATCTTCCCATAACCACTAGACAGAAATATTCTCAGAAACTCCTTTATGACGTATGCACTCAGCTAACAGAGAAGAACCTTCCTTTTGACAGAGCAGTTTTGATACACTCTTTTTGTAGAATCTGCAAGTGGATATTTGGATAGCTGTGAAGATTTCGTTGGAAACGGGAATATCTTCCTATAAAATCTAGACAGAAGCATTCTCAGAAACTGCTCTGTGATGTCTGCATTCAAGTCACAGAGTTGAACATTGCCTTTCCTAGAGCAGGTTTGAAACGCTCTTTTTGTAGTATATGGAAGTGGACGTTTCCGACGCTTTGAGGCCCATGGTGATAAAGGGAATATCTTCCCCTACAAGCTAGAAAGAAGCATTCTGTGAAACTTGTTTGTGATGTGTGTACTCAATTAACAGAGTTGAACCTTTCTTTTTACAGAGCAGTTTTGAAACACTCTTTTTGTAGAATCTGCGAGGGGATATTTGGATACATTTCAGGATTTCGTTGGAAACGGGAATATCTTCATATAAAATCTCGACAGAAGCATTCTCAGAAGCTTCTTTGTGATATGTGCATTCAAGTCACAGAGTTGAATATTCCCTTTCACAGAGTAGGTTTGAAACACTCTTTTTGTAGTATCTGGAAGTGGACATTTGGAGCACCTTGACGCCTACGGTGAAAAGGGAAATATCTTCTCATAAAAAGTAGACAGAAGCAATCTCAGAATCTTCTTTGGGATATATGTACGCAGCTAACAGAGTTGAACCTTTCTATTGACAGAGTAGTTTTGAAACAGTCTTTCTGTGGAATCTGCAAGTGGATATTTGGATAGCTTGGAGGATTTCGTTGGAAACGGGATTACGTATAAAAAGTAGACAGCAGCATCCTCAGAAACTTCTTTGTGATGTGTGCATTCATGTCACAGTGTTGAACATTCCCTTTCGTACAGCCGTTTTGAAACACTCTTTCTGTAGTATCTCTAAGTGAATATTAGGACATCTTTCAGGTCTATGGTGAGAAAGGAAATATCTTCAAATAAAAACTAGACAGAAGCATTCTCATAAACTTGTTTGTGATGTGTGAACTCAGCTAACAGAGGTCTATCTTTCTTTTGATAGAGCAGTTCTGAAAAACACTTTTTGTTGAATCTGCAAGTGGACATTTGGATAGATTTGAAGATTTCGTTGGAAACGGGAATATCTTTATATCAAATCTAGACAGAAGCATTGTCAGAAACGTCTTTGTGATGTTTGCATTCAACTCATAGAGTTGAACATTCCCTTCCAGAGAGTAGCTTTGAAGCACTCTTTTTGTAGCATGTGCAAGTGGACATTTGGAGCGCCCTGAGGCCTACGGGGAAAAAGCAAATATCTTCCCATAACCACTAGACAGAACATTCTCAGAAACTCCTTTATGACGTATGCACTCACCTAACAGAGAAGAACCTTCCTTTTGACAGAGCAGTTTTGATACACTCTTTTTGTAGAATCTGCAAGTGGATATTTGGATACCTGTGAAGATTTCGTTGGAAACGGGAATATCTTCCTATAAAATCTAGACAGAAGCATTCTCAGAAACTGCTCTGTGATGTCTGCATTCAAGTCACAGAGTTGAACATTGCCTTTCATAGAGCAGGTTTGAAACGCTCTTTTTGTAGTATATGGAAGTGGACTTATCGGACGGTTTAAGGCCCATGGTGATAAAGGGAATATCTTCCCCTACAAGCTAGAAAGAAGCATTCTGTGAAACTTGTTTGTGATGTGTGTACTCAACTAACAGAGTTGAACCTTTCTTTTTACAGAGCAGTTTTGAAACACTCTTTTTGTAGAATCTGCGAGGGGATATTTGGATAGATTTCAGGAATTTCGTTGGAAACGGGAATATCTTCATATATAAATCTCGACAGAAGCATTCTCAGAAACTTCTTTGTGATATGTGCATTCACGTCACAGAGTTGAATATTCCCTTTCACAGAGTAGGTTTGAAACACTCTTTTTGTAGTATCTGGAAGTGGACATTTGGAGCGCCTTGACGCCTACGGTGAAAAGGGAAATATCTTCCCATAAAAACTAGACAGAAGCAATCTCAGAATCTTCTTTGGGATATATGCACGCAGCTAACAGAGTTGAATCTTTCTATTGAGAGAGCAGATTTGAAACAGTCTTTCTGTGGAATCTGCAAGTGGATATTTGGATAGATTGGAGGATTTCTTTGGAAATGGGATTACGTATAAAAAGTAGACAGCAGCATCCTCAGAAACTTCTTTGTGATGTGTGCATTCAAGTCACAGAGTTGAACATTCCCTTTCGTACAGCAGTTTTGAAACACTCTTTCTATAGTATCTGGAAGTGAACATTAGGACAGCTTTCAGGTCTATGGTGAGAAAGGAAATATCTTCAAATAAAAATTAGACAGAAGAATTCTGATAAACTTGTTTGTGAAGTGTGAACTCAGCTAACACAGGTGGATCTTTCTTTTGATACAGCAGTTTTGAAAAACACTTTGGTGAATCTGCAAGTGGACATTTGGATAGATTTGAAGATTTCGTTGGAAACGGGTATATCTTCATAACAAATCTAGACAGAAGCATTCTCAGAAAACGTCTTTGTGATGTTTGCATTCAACTCATAGAGTTGAACATTCCGTTTCAGAGAGCAGCTTTGAGGCACACTTTTTGTAGTATGTGCAAGTGGATATTTGGAGCGCTCTGAGGCCTACGGTGAAAAAGCAAATATCTTCCCATAACCACTAGACAGAAACATTCCCAGAAACTCCTTTATGACGTATGCACTCACCTAACAGAGAAGAACCTTCCTTTTGACAGAGCAGTTTTGATACACTCTTTTTGTAGAATCTGCAAGTGGATATTTGGATAGCTGTGAAGGTTTCGTTGGAAACGGGAATATCTTCCTATAAAATCTAGACAGAAGCATTCTCAGAAACTGCTCTGTGATGTCTGCATTCAAGTCACAGAGTTGAACATTGCCTTTCATAGAGCAGGTTTGAAATGCTCTTTTTGTAGTATATGGAAGTGGACGTTTCGGACGGTTTGAGGCCCATGGTGATAAAGGGAATATCTTCCCCTACAAGCTAGAAAGAAGCATTCTGTGAAACTTGTTTGTGATGTGTGTACTCAACTAACAGAGTTGAACCTTTCTTTTTACAGAGCAGTTTTGAAACACTCTTTTTGTAGAATCTGCGAGGGGATATTTGGATAGATTTGAGGATTTCGTTGGAAACGGGAATATCTTCATAGAAAATCTCGACAGAAACATTCTCAGAAACCTCTTTGTGATATCTGCATTCAAGTCACAGAGTTGAATATTCCCTTTGACAGAGTAGGTTTGAAACACTCCTTTTGTAGTATCTGGAAGTGGACATTTGGAGCACCTTGACGCCTACGGTGAAAAGGGAAATATCTTCCCATAAAAACTAGACAGAAGCAATCTCAGAATCTTCTTTGGGATATATGCACGCAGCTAACAGAGTTGAACCTTTCTATTGACAGAGCAGTTTTGAAACAGTCTTTCTGTGGAATCTGCAAGTGGACATTTGGACAGCTTGGAGGATTTCGTTGGAAACGGGATTACGTATAAAAAGTAGACAGCAGCATCCTCAGAAACTTCTTTGTGATGTGTGCATTCAAGTCACAGAGTTGAACATTCCCTTTCGTACAGCAGTTTTGAAACACTCTTTCTATAGTATCTGGAAGTGAACATTAGGACAGCTTTCAGGTCTATGGTGAGAAAGGAAATATCTTCAAATAAAAACTAGACAGAAGCATTCTCATAAACTTGTTTGTGATGTGTGAACTCAGCTAACAGACGTGGATCTTTCTTTTGATACAGCAGTTTTGAAAAACACTTTTTGTTGAATCTGCAAGTGGACATTTGGATAGATTTGAAGATTTCGTTGGAAACGGGAATATCTTCCTATAAAATCTAGACAGAAGCATTCTCAGAAACGTCTTTGTGATGTTTGCATTCAACTCATGGAGTTGAACATTCCGTTTCAGAGACCAGCTTTGAAGCACTCTTTTTGTAGTATGTGCAAGTGGATATTTGGAGCGCTCTGAGGCCTACGGTGAAAAAGCAAATATCTTCCCATAACCACTAGACAGAAACATTCTCAGAAACTCCTTTATGACGTATGTACTCAACTAACAGAGAAGAACCTTCCTTTTGACAGAGCAGTTTTGATACACTCTTTTTGTAGGATCTGCAAGTGGATATTTGGATAGCTGTGAAGATTTCGTTGGAAACGGGAATATCTTCCTATAAAATCTAGACAGAAGCATTCTCAGAAACCGCTCTGTGATGTCTGCATTCAAGTCACAGAGTTGAACATTGCCTTTCCTAGAGCAGGTTTGAAACGCTCTTTTTGTAGTATATGGAAGTGGACGTTTCGGACGGTTTGAGGCCCATGGTGATAAAGGGAATATCTTCCCCTACAAGCTAGAAAGAAGCATTCTGTGAAACTTGTTTGTGATGTGTGTACTCAACTAACAGCAGTTGAACCTTTCTTTTTACAGAGCAGTTTTGAAACACTCTTTTTGTAGAATCTGCGAGGGGATATTTGGATAGATTTCAGGATTTCGTTGGAAACGGGAATATCTTCATATAAAATCTCGACAGAAGCATTCTCAGAAACTTCTTTGTGATATGTGCATTCAAGTCACAGAGTTGAATATTCCCTTTCACAGAGTAGGTTTGAAACACTCTTTTTGTAGTATCTGGAAGTGGACATTTGGAGCGCCTTGACGCCGACGGTGAAAAGGGAAATATCTTCCCATAAAAACTAGACAGAAGCAATCTCAGAATCTTCTTTGGGATATATGCACGCAGCTAACAGAGTTGAACCTTTCTATTGACAGAGCAGTTTTGAAACAGTCTTTCTGTGGAATCTGCCAGTGGATATTTGGATAGCTTGGAGGATTTCGTTGGAAACGGGATTAAGTATAAAAAGTAGACAGCAGCATCCTCCGAAACTTCTTTGTGATGTGTGCATTCAAGTCACAGAGTTGAACATTCCCTTTCGTACAGCAGTTTTGAAACACTCTTTCTGTAGTATCTGGAAGTGAACATTAGGACAGCTTTCAGGTCTATGGTGAGAAAGGAAATATCTTCAAATAAAAACTAGACAGAAGCATTCTCATAAACTTGTTTGTGATGTGTGAACTCAGCTAACAGAGGTGGATCTTTCTTTTGATAGAGCAGTTCTGAAAAACACTTTTTGTTGAATCTGCAAGTGGACATTTGGATAGATTTGAAGATTTCGTTGGAAACGGGAATATCTTCATACCAAATCTAGACAGAAGCATTCTCAGAAACGTCTTTGTCATGTTTGCATTCAACTCATAGAGTTGAACATTCCCTTTCAGAGAGCAGCTTTGAAACACTCTTTTTGTAGTATGTGCAAGTGGATATTTGGAGCGCTCTGAGGCCTAAGGTGAAAAAGAAAATATCTTCCCATAACCACTAGACAGAAACATTCTCAGAAACTCCTTTATGACGTATGCACTCACCTAACAGAGAAGAACCTTCCTTTTGACAGAGCAGTTTTGATACACTCTTTTTGTAGAATCTGCAAGTGGATATTTGGATACCTGTGAAGATTTCGATGGAAACGGGAATATCTTCCTATAAAATCTAGACAGAAGCATTCTCAGAAACAGCTCTGTGAAGTCTGCATTCAACTCACAGAGTTGAACATTGCGTTTCATAGAGCAGGTTTGAAACGCTCTTTTTGTAGTATATGGAAGTGGACGTTTCGGACGGTTTGAGACCCATGGTGATAAAGGGAATATATTCCCCTACAAGCTAGAAAGAAGCATTCTGTGAAACTTGTTTGTGATGTGTGTACTCAACTAACAGAGTTGTACCTTTCTTTTCACAGAGCAGTTTTGAAACACTCTTTTTGTAGAATCTGCGAGGGGATATTTGGATAGATTTCAGGATTTCCTTGGAAACGGGAATATCTTCATATAAAATCTCGACAGAAGCATTCTCAGAAACTTCTTTGTGATATCTGCATTCAAGTCACAGAGTTGAATATTCCCTTTCACAGAGTAGGTTTGAAACACTCTTTTTGTAGTATCTGGAAGTGGACTTTTGGAGCACCTTGACACCTATGGTGAAAAGGGAAATATCTTCCGATAAAAACTAGACAGAAGCAATCTCAGAATCTTCTTTGGGATATATGCACGCAGCTAACAGAGTTGAACCTTTCTATTGACAGAGCAGTTTTGAAACAGTCTTTCTGTGGAATCTGCAAGTGGATATTTCGATGGCTTGGAGGATTTCGTTGGAAACGGGATTACGTATAAAAAGTAGACAGCAGCATCCTCAGAAACTTCTTTGTGATGTGTGCATTCAAGTCACAGAGTTGAGCATTCCCTTTCATACAGCAGTTTTGAAACACTCTTTCTGTAGTATCTGGAAGTGAACATTAGGACAGCTTTCAGCTCTATGGTGAGAAAGGAAATATCTTCAAATAAAAACTAGAGAGAAGCATTCTCATAAACTTGTTTGTGATGTGTGAACTCAGCTAACAGAGGTGGATCTTTCTTTGGATAGAGCAGTTCTGAAAAACACTTTTTGTTGAATCTGCAAGTGGACATTTGGATAGATTTGAAGATTTCGTTGGAAACGGGAATATCTTCATATCAAATCTAGACAGAAGCATTCTCAGAAACGTCTTTGTGATGTTTGCATTCAACCCATAGAGTTGAACATTCCGTTTCAGAGAGCAGCTTTGAAGCGCTCTTTTTGTAGTATGTGCAAGGGGATATTTTGAGCGCTCTGAGGCCTAAGGTGAAAAAGCAAGTATCTTCCCATAACCACTAGACAGAAACATTCTCAGAAACTCCTTTATGACGTATGCACTCACCTAACAGAGAAGAAACTTCCTTTTGACAGAGCAGTTTTGATACACTCTTTTTGTAGAATCTGCAAGTGGATATTTGGATAGCTGTGAAGATTTCATTGGAAACGGGAATATCTTCCTGTAAAATCTAGACAGAAGCATTCTCAGAAACTGCTCTGTGATGTCTGCATTCAAGTCACAGAGTTGAACATTGCCTTTCATAGAGCAGGTTTGAAACGCTCTTTTTGTAGTATATGGAAGTGGATGTTTCAGACGGTTTGAGGCCCATGGTGATAAAGGGAATATCTTCCCCTACAAGCTAGAAAGAAGCATTGTGTGAAACTTGTTTGTGATGTGTGTACTCAACTAACAGAGTTGAACCTTTCTTTTTACAGAGCAGTTTTGAAACACTCTTTTTGTAGAAACTGCGAGGGGATATTTGGATACATTTCAGGATTTCGTTGGAAACGGGAATATCTTCATATAAAATCTCGACAGAAGCATTCTCAGAAACTTCTTTGTGATATGTGCATTCAAGTCACAGAGTTGAATATTCCCTTTCACAGAGTAGGTTGGAAACACTCTTTTTGTAGTATCTGGAAGTGGACATTTGGAGCGCCTTGACACCTACGGTGAAAAGGGAAATATCTTCCCATAAAAACTAGACAGAAGCAATCTCAGAATCTTCTTTGGGATATATGCACGAAGCTAACAGAGTTGAACCTTTCTATTGACAGAGCAGTTTTGAAACAGTCTTTCTGTGGAATCTGCAAGTGGATATTTGGATAGCTTGGAGGATTTCGTTGGAAACGGGATTATGTATAAAAAGTAGACAGCAGCATCCTCAGAAACTTCTTTGTGATGTGTGCATTCAAGCCACAGATTTGAACATTCCCTTTCGTACAGCAGTTTTGAAACACTCTTTCTGTAGTATCTGGAAGTGAACATTAGGACAGCTTTCAGGTCCATGGTGAGAAAGGAAATATCTTCAAATAAAAACTAGACAGAAGCATTCTCATAAACTTGTTTGTGATGTGTGAACTCAGCTAACAGAGGTGGATCTTTCTTTTGATAGAGCAGCTCTGAAAAACACTTTTTGTTGAATCTGCAAGTGGACATTTGGATAGATTTGAAGATTTCGTTGGAAACGGGAATATCTTCATATCAAATCTAGACAGAAGCATTCTCAGAAACGTCTTTGTGATGTTTGCATTCAACCCATAGAGTTGAACATTCCGTTTCAGAGAGCAGCTTTGAAGCACTCTTTTTGTAGTATGTGCAAGGGGATATATGGAGCGCTCTGAGGCCTAAGGTGAAAAAGCAAATATCTTCCCATAACCACTAGACAGAAACATTCTCAGAAACTCCTTTATGACGTATGCACTCACCTAACAGAAAAGAACCTTCCTTTTGACAGAGCAGTTTTGATACACTCTTTTTCTGGAATCTGCAAGTGGATATTTGGATAGCTGTGAAGATTTCGTTGGAAACGGGAATATCTTCCTATAAAATCTAGACAGAAGCATTCTCAGAAACTGCTCTGTGATGTCTCCATTCAAGTCACAGAGTTGAACATTGCCTTTCATAGAGCAGGTTTGAAACGCTCTTTTTGTAGCATATGGAAGTGGATGTTTCGGACGGTTGGAGGCCCATGGTGATAAAGGGAATATCTTCCCCTACAAGCTAGAAAGAAGCATTCTGTGAAACTAGTTTGTGATGTGTGTACTCAACTAACAGAGTTGAACCTTTCTTTTTACAGAGCAGTTTTGAAACACTCTTTTTGTAGAATCTGCGAGGGGATATTTGGATAGATTTCAGGATTTCGTTGGAAACGGGAATATCTTCATATAAAATCTCGACAGAAGCATTCTCAGAAACTTCTTTGTGATATGTGCATTCAAGTCACAGAGTTGAATATTCCCTTTCACAGAGTAGGTTTGAAACACTCTTTTTGTAGTATCTGGAAGTGGACATTTGGAGCGCCCTGACGCCTACGGTGAAAAGGAAAATATCTTCTCATAAAAAGTAGACAGAAGCAATCTCAGAATCTTCTTTGGGATATATGCACGCAGCTAACAGAGTTGAACCTTTCTATTGACAGAGCAGTTTTGAAACAGTCTTTCTGTGGAATCTGCAAGTGGATATTTGGATAGCTTGGAGGATTTCGTTGGAAACGGGATTACGTATGAAAAGTAGACAGCAGCATCCTCAGAAACTTCTTTGTGAGGTGTGCATTCAAGTCACAGAGTTGAACATTCGCTTTCGTGCAGCAGTTTTGAAACACTCTTTCTGTAGTATCTGGAAGTGAACATTAGGACAGCTTTCAGGTCTATGGTGAGAAAGGAAATATCTTCAAATAAAAACTAGACAGAAGCATTCTCATAAACTTGTTTGTGATGTGTGAACTCAGCTAACAGAGGTGTATCTTTCCTTTGATAGAGCAGTTCTGAAAAACACGTTTTGTTGAATCTGCAAGTGGACATTTTGATAGATTTGAAGATTTCGTTGCAAACGGGAATATCTTCATATCAAATCTAGACAGAAGCATTCTCGGAAACGTCTTTGTGATGTTTGCATTCAACACATAGAGTTGAACATTCCGTTTCAGAGAGCAGCTTTGAAGCACTCTTTTTGTAGTATGTGCAAGTGGATATTTGGAGCACTCTGAGACCTAGGGTGAAAAAGCAAATATCTTCCCATAACCACTAGACAGAAACATTCTCAGAAACTCCTTTATGACGTATGTACTCAACTAAGAGAGAAGAACTTTCCTTTTGACAGAGCATTTTTGATACACTCTTTTTGTACTATCTGCAAGTGGATATTTGGATAGCTGTGAAGATTTCGTTGGAAACGGGAATATCTTCCTATAAAACCTAGACAGAAGCATTCTCAGAAACTGCTCTGTGATGTCTGCATTCAAGTCACAGAGTTGAACATTGCCTTTCCTAGAGCAGGTTTGAAACGCTCTTTTTGTAGTATATGGAAGTGGACGTTTCGGAGGGTTTGAGACCCATGGTGATAAAGGGAATATATTCCCCTACAAGCTAGAAAGAAGCATTCTGTGAAACTTGTTTGTGATGTGTGTACTCAACTAACAGAGTTGAACCTTTCTTTTTACAGAGCAGTTTTGAAACACTCTTTTTGTAGAATCTGCGAGGGGATATTTGGATAGATTTTAGGATTTCGTTGGAAACGGGAATATCTTCATATAAAATCTCGACAGGAAGCATTCTCAGAAACTTCTTTGTGATATGTGCATTCGAGTCACAGAGTTGAATATTCCCTTTCACAGAGTAGGTTTGAAACACTCTTTTTGTAGTATCTGGAAGTGGATATTTGGAGCGCCTTGACACCTACGGTGAAAAGGGAAATATCTTCCCATAAAAACTAGACAGAAGCAATCTCAGAATTTTCTTTGGGATATATGCACACAGCTAACAGAGTTGAACTTTTCTATTGACATACCAGTTTTGAAACAGTCTTTCTGTGGAATCTGCAAGTGGATATTTGGATAGCTTGGAGGATTTCGTTGGAAACGGGATTACGTATAAAAAGTAGACAGCAGCATCCTCAGAAACTTCTTTGTAATGTGTGCATTCAAGTCACAGAGTTGAACATTCCCTTTCGTACAGCAGTTTTGAAACACTCTTTCTGTAGTATCTGGAAGTGAACATTAGGACAGCTTTCAGCTCTATGGTGAGAAAGGAAATATCTTCAAATAAAAACTAGACAGAAGCATTCTCATAAACTTGTTTGTGATGTGTGAACTCAGCTAACAGAGGTGGATCTTTCTCTTGATAGAGGAGTTCTGAAAAACACTTTTTGTTGAATCTGCAAGTGGACATTTGGATAGATTTGAAGATTTCGTTGGAAACGGGAATATCTTCATAT